>NC_000001.11:236941697-237093212 GCF_000001405.40 Homo sapiens | reverse complement strand
ATGATCTTATGGAATCACTGCTGTCCAATAAGGTGGCTGCAAGCCTCCTGTGGGTATTTAAATTTGGGTTAATTAAAATTAGATAAAATGTAAAATCCAGTTCCTTGGTGAAACGCGTCACACTTTAAGAATTTAATAACCACATGTGGCTAGTGGTACTGGATGGCACAGACATAAGGCATGCCCATCTTCACCGGGAGTTCTACGGGACAGCACTGTCACAGAGCACCCATATACGCCCACACACTGCTGCTCCGGCCTCAGCAAAGTGAGGTTCTGCATGTGGAGGGAGAAGGCAATTCTGCTATGTGGGATTTATCCAAGAAATGCTGTGAAGGAAGCAAGTTGAATTAGATTTTGAAATAATAATAAGACTATCTTTGGCCAGACACGGTGGCTCACGCCTATAACCCCAGCGCTTTGGGAGGATGAGGCAGGTGGATCACTAGAGGTCAAGAGTTCAAGACCAGCCTGGCCAACATAGTGAAACTCCCATCTCAACTAAAAATACAAAAAATAGCTGGGCATGGTGGCACATGCCTGTAATCCCAGTTACTCGGGAGGCTGAGGCAGGAGAATCACTTGAACCCAGGAGGCGGAGGTTGCAGTGAGCCGAAATCACACCACGGCACTCCAGCCTGGGCAACAGAGAGACAGTGAGACTCTGTCTCAAAAAAAAAGGAAAAAAAAAAAAAAAAGACTATCTGTGATCTGTATAGTATACCACATATATAAACAATGTTTACATATATTTTAAAATAACATGGTTTCAAATGGGACATTTCACATGGCAGAATAGCACAGACAGTCACATAAGAGCAAACACCAAGCCTGAGAAGATAGCAGAGGGTCTCCTTCAAGGAAACAAACACTCTTTAATTTGAGGGACTCATAAGGCATCAAAATGGCCATCTGGAGCGTACCTAAGGATATTTCAGCCTGCTTTTACATTCCTTTATTTGACCTTAACACCACTCTACACGGCACACCAGGTAACATCAACCCATTGTTAACCCAAGGGTGGGCAGACTACAGCCCATTATACAACGCATCCTTATGGTAGATCTTTTCTCTCAACATGCTTTCCCTCTGAAATCAGTATTATAAAGGTGCTCTAGTATATTTAGGTAATTGTCATTCCAGCTGTATCCGTATGTCAAATCAAGACCAGAGAGAGCTAGGAAGAAACAGGACAAAATAAAAGAAATAATGAACATATGGCTATCAAAACATCTCTCCATTTTTAACCCATCCCCTGTTGACTCTCTGCTCTTCTCTGCATATTCCCATCTTCTCAGCCAAGAACCCTGGTATCAAAAGCTGTGCTTTCTGCTTCCAGGGCACCTTCAGTCTAGGAATGCTCTGGCTGGTGGCTGCCACATTAGGCAGCACAGGCCTGGAATTTAAAGGGCAAGGATAGGACTCAGAGGAAGGAGAAATCAGAGTTCAGGTTTAGGATTTAAAGAACAGGTCTTAGAACCGTCCCTGGGTCAGGTGCAGTGGCTCACGCCTGTAATCCCAGCACTTAGGGAGGCCAAGGCGGGGGGATCACTTGAGCCCAGAAGTTCGAGACCAGCCTGGGCAACATGGCGAAACCCCGTCTCTACTAAAAATACAAAAATTAGCCAGGTGTGGCACCGCACACCTGTAATCCCAGCTACTCGGGAGGCTGAGGCAGGAGAATTGCTTGAACCCAGGAGGCGGAGGTTGCAGTGAGCCAAGATCGTGCCACTGCACTCCAGCCTGGGCAATGGGGCAAGACCCTATCCCCCCCCGCCCCCCCCAAAAAAAAGAAAGAAAAGTCCCTGGTGTTTCTACAGTTTGAATTCCAGACCAACAGAGATTTGGGAATGGCACCCTCCTTAGGGTAAGTCATTTCCTAAGGGATGCTAAGCTCACTGGACAGGTTACAAGAGAAAGTTTCCATCCCTCAGTCAGAATCCTGAAACAACCTGCTTGATGGTGAAGTTCACGCTGTAAGAGCTGCCAATTGTGTTTCTGGGTGTTCACAGAACCCCCCAGTAGTTAGCAGGGGTGTTTGATCCCAGGCTTTTTTCTATTCAGTCCATGTCCCAAGCCACATTTTCAAAGTTAACCATCTAATTCAACCTATATTGTTATCTTCCTCCAGAATAGTAACACTCCTTCACCAAACCAAGCTCTTACTCTACACAAATGTCATGTGAAAGTCGTTCCAAAAATAAATGTATGACATTAAACACAAGTACATAATTTTCATTTAACTGGTTTAACTTATTACAAAATTACTATATTTTGTAATGCACATGGGATAATATTCTCAAGTCAACTGTACATGTGACATAGTAGCTACTGAACCTTTAACTTTCATGCCAACCTTCTTCTCAAAACAGAGCCTTCCTCTTGAAACCCTTGGCCCAGTAAAAGAGTCTCGTGAATTTTCTGCAACTGAAGTTGTTTTGCATTCAAAAATCAAATGCCAGACTACACTTCACCTGAAGGTCAGGGAGGACAGTCAGTCATTCAGTCATTTATAACCAAGGACACCCAAAGTATATGCCAGTTTCCTATATTCCTATATTAGTTTCCTTTATTAGTTTCCTGTTGCTGCTGTAACAAATTACTGCAAACATAATGTCTTAAAACAATGCAAATTTATTTTATAGTTCTGGAGGTCAGACATCTAAAGTAAAATGGTTCTGCAGGGCTGCACTCCTTCTAGTGACTCTAGGGGAAAATCTGTTGGTTCCTGGCCTTCCAGCAATGTGGCACCTTCAACTGTCTCTGATCTCTGCTTCCATCATCACATCTCCTCTGACTCTGATCCCCCTGCCTCCCTCATGTAATCCTCTCATGATTACACTGCCCCCGCACGAGATAATCTCAAGATCCTTAACTTAATGACATCTGCAAAGTCCCTTTTGCCATGTAAAGTAACATATTTACAGGTTCTGGGGATTAGAATATGGACATCCATGGAGGGCCCTGATATGGTTTGGCTGTGTCCCCACCCAAATCTCACCTTGAATTGTAGTTCCCATAATCCCCACATAGCATGGGAGGGATCCAGTGGGAGGTAATTGAATCATGGGGGCGGTTTCCCCCATGCTGTTCTGGTGACAGTAAGTGAATTCTCAAGAGATCTGATAGTTTTGAAAGAGACTCTTCCTGCCTTCACTCAGCACTCATTCTCTCTCCTGCCGCCCTGTGAAGAGGTGCCTTCTGCCATGATTGTAAGTTTCCTGAGGCTTCCCCAGCCATGTGGAACTGTGAGTCAATTAAATCTCTTTTCTTATAAATTATTCAGTCTCGGGTATTTCTTCATAGCAGCATGAGAACGGACTAATACAGGCCCTTATTCAGCCGACCACACCAGCCTTATAAACTCATCTCTGCAGACTATCTAAGAATAATCTTCTGAAATACCAGAGATTACTTAAAAATTCACTATATACTCCCACCAACTGAAGTTTTCCACTTGCATTTTGCATTTCAGCATCACGTGGGATACACTGGGATTAGCTAAAAGGAACATGACTTATTTTTCTAAACCAGTTTAGACTATTTACCTTTTCATATTTCTTAACAAGATAACATACAATTCTATTGGCTAAAAGTAGTGTGGATTTCACTGTATCCCTCAAGGGAGGCTGGCAATAAATGTGAGGTCACATATAAACTTGACAAGATACATTTTAGTTTAATTTCACTCTCAGTGTCTGATTTCTTTAAAATCATGTGGCTAGATGGTTACCTCTTACTGACTCACTATTTCTTAGGGACATATCTGAACTAGTACTAGACTGAACAAAAAATAATTTCCTATAATAAATGTAGTCAAAAGGAATAAAACAGTATATGGAAAGAAATGGTTATTCTTTTCTACACTACTATCTTAGTTGGAAATGCATTTTAAAATCTAACAATTAAAGGAATGGGAAGAAAAGGCTCTGCTTATTCTCAAACAGGCCTACCTAGATATTAGCTTTCTTCATTTATGTGTAAGAAAAATTAATCTGAACTCCGTTATGTAATACAGTTACCCCCACACTGAGAATGGGTTAAGTTGGAGGCAGATGAAATGGATGTAATTGGCAGGGAATTTCCTGAGAGGTCTGAGGTTTTTAAAAGGTGAGACTCAGCAGGTGCAAAGGGCAAAAAACCAGAGGGTGCCTTTCCATGAATTTGGAGCTATTTTTAATCTAAGAATGAGAGGTCCAGATCTATGGGACCCATGTGGGTTTGGTTTGTTATTCGGGAATAGAAAAGGCTTCTCCTGTTACAGTGGAAACTCAGGCAAGAAAGGGTTATTTTGGCTTTGTAAGTACTGGAAACAACTGAAATTAAATAAAATGTTGTCTCTGAATACTGTCCTTGCCTCTTTTGAAGGTAAGATATTATGAGCCATATCTTGTATCCTTCACATGACAACTTAACCTAAACTGTCTAAGTACTATGAGAAAGGATTACCTACCACAAAAACAAGGCTGGAAAGAATGTATTTTGTAGGTAGAAAACTTAACATTACCCCTCGAATATTTTCTACAACATAAAACCAATGCAGGACAATTTCTGAATCCCTGGTTTAATCCTAAGCCAAGTAATGAACTCAAAAACATGGAAGAATGATAAATCATAGATTAGCAAACTTAGAAAAAGAAACGTACAACACCAATGCCCCTGGCTTTTGTTTTTTATTTTGTTTTGTCTCATAGGGCACAGGAGTTTGAGATAATAAATTGCGAAAAGCATTGATTCCAGTACACAACTTCCAGGAGGCATCCAATACACATTTACACATTTGTTGAAGGAACTTGTAAATATGGTTTAGTCTTGCAAGGAAAGTAGAAAAAGGAAAGAAAAGCACAGGTAGCCAAGCCCTTGCATCCTATCTCTCTTTATCTCTCCTGAGATTCATGAGTGGTGGTCACAGGAGCGTGGAGATGGCCAGGACCTCACTAACCATCTGCGTTTGGCACACGTACCAAGGGTTGCCAATCCACAAATGCAAACATGCCAGACATGCATGCTTTACACGCCTTTACAGCTGGCTAGCCCCAAGCCACTTGGGATTGGAAAAAAAAAAGTACAGTCAAGGAGTATCATGTCTTCCATGTACATTAATTTCCAATAGTATCCAATATTACATATATCCAATATTACATTAATTTCCAAAGGCAGAAATGGCAAGTGCAGTCAGCATTTCATTTCTAAATTCAAAGGTACAGGACATAGTTCTCAGCTGGTGCCAGCAAATGCCAAATGGGTGGCACAAATACCAATGACTTAACCCAGCATGCACAGAGAACTAATTGTGTTGAATACCATCTATCTAAAGTGATCTAAGATGTTTTCTCTATTCCAAATAATGCGAGAACTTCTGAGATGAAAATCACACAAAATTAAATGGAGACTTTCTCACATTTTTATTAAGGCTCATTTTACAAACACATCCAAGCCCCACTGTGGAGGGGGGAATGTAGGAGGAGAAACCCAGGCTGGCCACCCAGACACCAAGAGGGGCACCAATTCTGCCAACATCTCAAATTCGAGAATGTGGTGAGATCCACTGATAAATTCAACTTCCATGCACTTGGTTTCTAACAAGATATACGAATGCCATTTTCTGCTTATTGACATCTCTGTGGGCTGCAAAGAAAAGAAACATGTCTTGGTGCATCTGGCATTAGAAATAAATCTACCTCCTCAAATAGTACTTGAAGAGTGAATCATTACTCATTATACTTCTCACATTTTGCATCTCCCTTTAAACAAAAACATTTACATTTTTTATCCTGATTTTGGTAGGCTATAAAATCAGATGATTCATCATGGTAGGTAACCAGGTGAGCAACAAAGAAGGAGGAGGAGGAGGAGAGGAAAGTGAAATGAGCAGTATGTCCTAAACCTGGAATTGAACCTGGAAACAGAAAAAAATGTAACAGAGTTGCTACAAACACACACGAAAACCAAGCCCAGTGAGTGAAGACTGGCTAGGATGCTATTCTCCTGGCCCAGATGCTGGTTCAGGTGCCATCTGGAAGCACCAGCAACTAATGAGGGAAGAAAAGAAATTCAGCAATTTGGAAGTTTTCCCGAATGCAGTCCCTCCTTCAGGGAATCCCAGCTTTACTGTGAAAGGGGTCCTCCTGCCTTTCACTTGCGCGTGCTGAGAATTGCTTTCTCAAGGTCAGTGGCCATGAAAATATTCTATGCAGCCTGAAAAGAGAAGAACTCTCTGGCACAACAAGCCATAACACTATAATCCGAGAGCTGCAGACATATACATACTCAAATACAGGCAGTTCATGTTCCTCCGGGGATAGCACCAACTTGTCCATTAGTATCAGCTCTATCTCATTTAAAAGCATAAGTTTGACTGCTGTTTGCCAACCTCGTTCTACTGCAGCTGGAGAGTGAAGGCCCAATATCTCTACATACTCAAACCATAACGCTGCCTGTGACCTTTCCTCCCAAAGCCCAAACACTTCCAGCATCGCGAAGTAAAGTGATATGGTCCCACCCAGCACCCCTCACCACCCTGCACAGGGTACCCATGATATTGTGGGAAATAAAAATCCTCCATGCAAGCCCTGGCTTGGATTAGTTAAGCAATATGCTGGCTCCCTGTTGAGGTCAGCACCCTTCCTTTCCTCCCCATCATAACACCATAGTAAGATAAAGGTAACAGACTGGGAAGAAGGGAAGGATGAACCCGAAACACAGAAAAGTTCAAAAATCTTGTCCACTGAGACAAGAAGGGTTAAGGACTGAATTGTGTCCCTCCTCCTACAAAATTCGTATGTTAAAGCTCTAATGTGACTGTATTTGGAGATAGGTCCTTTAAAGAGGTGACTGAGTTAAAATGAGGAAATGAGGGTGAGCCCTCATCCAATATGACTAGTGAGCTTAGAAGAAGAAGAGATTAGGACACAGATACATGGAGGAAAGACCACGTGAGGACACAGGGAAAAGACAGCCATCTAAGAGTCAAGGGGAGAGGCTTTAGAAGAAACCAGCCCTGCCAACACCTTGATCTTGAATTTCCAGCTTCCAGAATTATGAGGAAATAAATGTCTGTTGTTTAAGCCAATGAGTCTGTGGTACTTTGTTATGACAGCTCAGGCAAACTAATGCAGGCATTAACAGAGCATGCCTTAGGCTAAAATGTCAGAAGCAGGCTGGGTGCAGTGGCTCACGCCTATAATCCCAGCACTTTGAGAGGCCAAGGCAGTCAGGTCGCTTGAGCTCAGGAGTTCAAGATCAGCCTGGGCAACATGGTGAAACCCCATCTCCACCAAAAATACAAAAAATTAGCCAGGCGTAGCGGCACACGCCTGTGGTCCCAGCTTCTTGGGAGGCTGAAGTGGGAGGATCACTTGAGCCTGGGAGGCGGAGGTTGCAGTGAGCTGTGATCATAACACTGTACTCCATCCAGCCTGGGTGACAGAGGGACACCTCCTCTCAAAAAAAAAGTCAGAAGCAGGTGCCTCACTGATCTTCCTATCCCTGTCTGAATAGCTCTCTTCTCCCCCTCAAGTTCCCAGGATTCCAGGCCCCTCCAACTGAGATCAAGTAATGGGGCAGTTCACCTCAAATGCTCTTGGTTCTTGATATTAGGAAAGCAATCTAATCAAATAGATTAAACACACACGTGCACCCAATTACACTCTTCTAAAATCACAGCTGTTGTATACCCTTGTGGCTTCAGCCTCCTGATCTTTCTCATTGCTTCCCTTCTCCTCCTCCAGCTTCCAGGAACAGTAGAGAGGAAATTAACACATGCGGAGCAAGTTAAGAATTTTATCTGATGGGGTAGATTTTATTTTATGCAACAGGGAAGGGACTCCAAAAGACAAGAGTAACTTTTCCAATAGTAGAACCAATAACTGAAACTCAGATATTTTTGACTCCAAAGACTTGACTCCTTTTGATAAGTCACGGTTCCATCCCAGTAGCTGAAATGACTAAAGTTTTATAAAATAGTTCTATTAGGAAAAGAAATAAGTCACTGTAAACACTACCCTAATATCCCTGGAGATCAATTTTAAATTGATATTAATTGGATGCACTCTACTACGTAAGCCTATAGAGAAACTAAAATATCTGTTGCACTTCAAATTTCACGACTCATGCTACAAAATGAACATAAACGGCAATCACACCCTTGAGTAGTTTTTGTGGAAAGATAACTCAATGAAATAACCTACTTTTAAAATAAGAAATAATGAAAATAAAAAGCCGATGTGAATTTGGTGCTTTCCTATCATTATTCAGCATTTGGGGGAATACAGCTCTGTCGGCAAGGTTATTCCAGGCTCTCTGAGACCAGGGTATGTATACAAGAGGGCCGGCCCCGGCCCTTCAATCAGGCACTTTCATGCTTCCTGCATGGGCACAGAGGGTGAAATTAGCAGTTAACTCCACATTAGGTCGGGACCCAAGTCAGCTTTTAATTTAATTCTCCTTTTAGAGAATTAAAAAGGGACTAGCACATTCAAGAAATGCCTGGCCAAAAGCAAAGGACTATTCCCTAACCAGTGACACTGGGAACAGTGAAGGCACCAAGGAAATGCAGCTGGGAGGAGGGATGATGAAAGCAAAGCTTCAATTCCTCCTGGCATCAGGGAGGGGACTGAGGGCCACAAACTACCCCTCCCCCGCCTTTCCATCTGTTACCCAAAACGCTTGCTCTGCTTGTGAATTAAAGCAATAACAACCTTAATGTTCATGAATAACTAGACATGCCTAGTCACCTTGCTGCCTATAAGAATTATGTACGTCATTATACATGTTCGGCTTTCTTACAAGTGCCATTCAATTTCCATAATACCCTCAGCTCGCGGGTCTTAGTATTCACAGATTTCTGCTTATGTAGCCTGATTGCCTTGTTAACTGCTTTATAACATTAGCGGGAGCATTAGAAGTCAGGAAAATGAAAGATGCATGGATGAAAGTGGAGAAGCCAGCTTGACACAGATGGATTTGCTTTGGGATAAGCCGAATTTGAAATACCATGAGCATCCAGGTGAAAATGGGTATGAGGCACTGGGGTAATGTCCTTTCCACGGTGAGCTCCTGTTGTGGTTGTGAATTAGATCTTCAAAGAGGAGAATGGAATGTGGGGGCAGATGATGGAGGACCGAGGACCAAACTCTGGAGGCATTCACACTTGGACAGTGAGAGAACCAAGAGAGGCCCAGGGAGAACAGAGGTGGGTCATAAAATAATCACTCTTCAGAGCCACACTGTCCAATATGGTAGCCATATGCCACGTGTGTCCACAGAACACCTGAAATGTGGCTGATCTGCACTGAGGTGTGCCGTGGGCATAACATACACACTGGATTTTCATGCCTAAGTGGACAAAAGTCCCACATCCTCCAGGGAAGTTTAAGGGGATGAATACTGAGGGAAAGCATTTGAGAGCTCCCTGGTCATCTTTCAGCGCCATTTCAGTGAGTGGTAAGGCCAGTAATATAAGAAGCAGTGGGTAAATAAACCACTGCTGTGTCTAGCATTTTGGGGCAGAGAAATAGAGGAGCACAGTTAAAGGGCACTTTGCTTTGTTGTCTCTGAAAGGAAGACCTGCAGATGTTTGTAAATAGCCCACTATCTCCTTCTCTCCCCAGAAAGACACAGACATACTTGCCTCATCAGTTCACATTCTCAGTCCCACTGAACCATCTGGAAACAAGCTCATACACCAACACAAGCAGAGAGGAGAGATGACTGTGGAATAAAGAGGCATTCTGCAATTTATCAAAAAAGGAGCTTAGCCCTCCCATGTTTTTTGTTTTAAATTCTGCATGAGATCCCCGAGTGAAAGGCTAGAAGTGCTGAGGGAGGGTTACCTGGCTTGCCTGAGAGTGGCATGGCATGAGAACCACTAAGCACATACCAGATCCTGGGATTCCACGGGCTTTTCATCTGGCTGTTGGCTGCCCAAATGCCACCACTTGAACATAAATTTATCGGGAAACTTCTACATGGTCGTGAGGAATTTTCTCTCTCACTTCAAAGCATGCACCAAACTGCCAGAGAACACTTAGAGGGTTTTCTCCTCCTACTCCCTAGTCTTCAAATAAATGAATGTTGAAAAGGGTAACTGCTGATGGCTCTCTGTAACTTCTGAAAGGGGACTTGTGGCAACAGTGGGCCCATACTGCATCCCAGAAGCAGGGCCAGGCTATAATTCTGAACGGGCAACAAGTCACTATAAACATTTATAAAGAAGAAAGTGTGCAAGGGCTTACAGAAAGTAAATCGTCGGGGAAATTGTTAAAAATTTCCAAGTCTTTGCTCCACAAAAACTAAACATTAATCAGGCTTTAGTGATTTCTCTAGTATTTTATAAGAATAGCAAGGCGATATAATAGCAAGGAGATCAAAGAATTAACATCACCTGACACTGCAGGTGAGACTGAAAACGTGTATTCACACCTAACTTTCCCTATTAAATTGCTCAAATAAAGAATCTTAACACTAGCAGGGTCCAATTTAACACTTGTTACATATAGAAGAAACTCACAGAAACTAACAAGCACTCAGCCCACACACATCTGCTTAGCCAAGGCTTCGTGGGTTAACCTTATGGTACTGAGAACTTGGAAACAGAAGACTGCAGGAGGGGCGGCTATAAGAGGCAGTTTACTCTCTGATTTTATATCCGATTTTATATATATATATATATATATATATATATATATGTTTTCCTATTTGAAAGAATATAACACAGGGGTTTTAATTCCATCAAGATAACAGGCAGTTATCAGGTGCATGAAAGCAGCACCAACAAATTAATACAAAGGTGCATCGACAATAGCAATTTTAATACTTCATTTCCAGACCATTAAAAATGTCCGCCATCTTTGCTCATCATCATTGGCTTCCTACAAAAGGACTTTGTCTTAATAGCAGAATAGAGTCATGCTTAGTGCTTAGTGCTTAGGCTCTGACACAGGTTTTAAGTTCTGGCACAAAACGATGAGCTGTGTGGCTTAACCTCCCATACCTCACATGATCCTGTGAAGAGTCAATAAGTTAATATAACATGAACGCTGCTTACAATAGGACCTGTCCCACAGTACATGATCAATAATGTCAGCCACTAGTTTAATCAGTTAATGTTTATCAGCACCAGATCATAGCAAACTGAGATTCTCCCTGGGGACCTCGCTGACACAGGGTGTCACTAGGACAGAAACCTTCATCTCTAAAGAGGTCTTTGCCCACCAAGTTCTTCTCCCCATTAAGAAATCACAGTTATCTTGGAGTAATTAGCCTTTCCCTTTGCACAGGTGCTGATGTCTCCTGCCTCCCAGGGATCATCGCCAAGTAGTGCCTGGTGGAGCTCACCCTTAAAAGAAAGAAGAGTTTGAGGATGCAGCTAGGACAGGAAGGCCATGCCGCAGGAGAAACTGAAGACTTTTCATGAGTAAAGGTTTTGTTTCTTTAGGCTGGAATGGCTGCCTCCTATCCATATAAATGAGGTAAGTCTCCTGGGAAGGGCGAGGTTCCTGATAAAAGCCAATAAAACCATCTTTCCAGCTGGATGGGTCATTGGGATGGAATATTGAGAGAGACAGAGAGAGGGAGAGAGAGAGTGTGTGCGTATGTGTGTGTGTGCCATATATGTAACACATATCTGGAACATAAATGCATGAGAAATGTCTAAATTATGATATATATGTATACATGCATGTATATATATATATATATGTGGGGGGTGTATTTATATATGTATATACATATATAAAGAAAGACAGGGTCCTCCTGTGGATCTTGGTTGTCCCTTTAGAACCTGGCCCTCCCTGAAGTGTGGGCCATGGGTACCCATACAAGGGGACTGAGGGGCACAAACCTGTGGATCCTGAACCAAAGCAAATGTAGGTACATCGAGTCCGTAGCTCAGACCTTTGTTGACTTTCTTTTTTTTTTTTTTTTTTTTTTTATTATACTCTAAGTTTTAGGGTACATGTGCACATTGTGCAGGTTAGTTACATATGTATACATGTGCCATGCTGGTGCGCTGCACCCACTAATGTGTCATCTAGCATTAGGTATATCTTCCAATGCTATCCCTCCCCCCTCCCCCGACCCCACCACAGTCCCCAGAGTGTGATATTCCCCTTCCTGTGTCCATGTGATCTCATTGTTCAATTCCCACCTATGAGTGAGAATATGCGGTGTTTGGTTTTTTGTTCTTGCGATAGTTTACTGAGAATGATGGTTTCCAATTTCATCCATGTCCCTACAAAGGATATGAACTCATCATTTTTTATGGCTGCATAGTATTCCATGGTGTATATGTGCCACATTTTCTTAATCCAGTCTATCATTGTTGGACATTTGGGTTGGTTCCAAGTCTTTGCTATTGTGAATAGTGCCGCAATAAACATACGTGTGCATGTGTCTTTATAGCAGCATGACTTATACTCATTTGGGTATATACCCAGTAATGGGATGGCTGGGTCAAATGGTATTTCTAGTTCTAGATCCCTGAGGAATCGCCACACTGACTTCCACAATGGTTGAACTAGTTTACAGTCCCACCAACAGTGTAAAAGTGTTCCTATTTCTCCACATCCTCTCCAGCACCTGTTGTTTCCTGACTTTTTAATGACTGCCGTTCTAACTGGTGTGAGATGATATCTCATAGTGGTTTTGATTTGCATTTCTCTGATGGCCAGTGATGATGAGCATTTCTTCACGTGTTTTTTGGCTGCATAAATGTCTTCTTTTGAGAAGTGTCTGTTCATGTCCTTCGCCCACTTTTTGATGGGGTTGTTTGTTTTTTTCTTGTAAATTTGTTTGAGTTCATTGTAGATTCTGGATATTAGCCCTTTGTCAGATGAGTAGGTTGCGAAAATTTTCTCCCATGTTGTAGGTTGCCTGTTCACTCTGATGGTAGTTTCTTTTGCTGTGCAGAAGCTCTTTAGTTTAATTAGATCCCATTTGTCAATTTTGTCTTTTGTTGCCATTGCTTTTGGTGTTTTGGACATGAAGTCCTTGCCCACGCCTATGTCCTGAATGGTAATGCCTAGGTTTTCTTCTAGGGTTTTTATGGTTTTAGGTTTAACGTTTAAATCTTTAATCCATCTTGAATTGATTTTTGTATAAGGTGTAAGGAAGGGATCCAGTTTCAGCTTTCTACATATGACTAGCCAGTTTTCCCAGCACCATTTATTAAATAGGGAATCCTTTCCCCATTGCTTGTTTTTCTCAGGTTTGTCAAAGATCAGATAGTTGTAGATATGCGGCATTATTTCTGAGGGCTCTGTTCTGTTCCATTGATCTATATCTCTGTTTTGGTACCAGTACCATGCTGTTTTGGTTACTGTAGCCTTGTAGTATAGTTTGAAGTCAGGTAGTGTGATGCCTCCAGCTTTGTTCTTTTGGCTTAGGATTGACTTGGCAATGCGGGCTCTTTTTTGGTTCCATGTGAACTTTAAAGTAGTTTTTTCCAATTCTGTGAAGAAAGGCATTGCTAGCTTGATGGGGATGGCATTGAATCTGTAAATTACCTTGGGCAGTATGGCCATTTTCACGATATTGATTCTTCCTACCCATGAGCATGGAATGTTCTTCCATTTGTTTGTGTCCTCTTTTATTTCCTTGAGCAGTGGTTTGTAGTTCTCCTTGAAGAGGTCCTTCACATCCCTTGTAAGTTGGATTCCTAGGTATTTTATTCTCTTTGAAGCAATTGTGAATGGGAGTTCACCCATGATTTGGCTCTCTGTTTGTCTGTTGTTGGTGTATAAGAATGCTTGTGATTTTTGTACATTGATTTTGTATCCTGAGACTTTGCTGAAGCTGCTTATCAGCTTAAGGAGATTTTGGGCTGAGACGATGGGGTTTTCTAGATAAACAATCATGTCGTCTGCAAACAGGGACAATTTGACTTCCTCTTTTCCTAATTGAATACCCTTTATTTCCTTCTCCTGCCTGATTGCCCTGGCCAGAACTTCCAACACTATGTTGAATAGGAGCGGTGAGAGAGGGCATCCCTGTCTTGTGCCAGTTTTCAAAGGGAATGCTTCCAGTTTTTGCCCATTCAGTATGATATTGGCTGTGGGTTTGTCATAGATAGCTCTTATTATTTTGAAATACGTCCCATCAATACCTAATTTATTGAGAGTTTTTAGCATGAAGGGTTGTTGAATTTTGTCAAAGGCTTTTTCTGCATCTATTGAGATAATCATGTGGTTTTTGTCTTTGGCTCTGTTTATATGCTGGATTACATTTATTGATTTGCGTATATTGAACCAGCCTTGCATCCCAGGGATGAAGCCCACTTGATCATGGTGGATAAGCTTTTTGATGTGCTGCTGGATTCGGTTTGCCAGTATTTTATTGAGGATTTTTGCATCAATGTTCATCAAGGATATTGGTCTAAAATTCTCTTTTTGGGTTGTGTCTCTGCCCAGCTTTGGTATCAGAATGATGCTGGCCTCATAAAATGACTTAGGGAGGATTCCCTCTTTTTCTATTGATTGGAATAGTTTCAGAAGGAATGGTGCCAGTTCCTCCTTGTACCTCTGGTAGAATTCGGCTGTGAATCCATCTGGTCCTGGACTCTTTTTGGTTGGTAAACTATTGATTATTGCCACAATTTCAGAGCCTGTTATTGGTCTATTCAGAGATTCAACTTCTTCCTGGTTTAGTCTTGGGAGAGTGTATGTGTCGAGGAATGTATCCATTTCTTCTAGATTTTCTAGTTTATTTGCGTAGAGGTGTTTGTAGTATTCTCTGATGGTAGTTTGTATTTCTGTGGGATCGGTGGTGATATCCCCTTTATCATTTTTTATTGTGTCTATTTGATTCTTCTCTCTTTTTTTCTTTATTAGTCTTGCTAGCGGTCTATCAATTTTGTTGATCCTTTCAAAAAACCAGCTCCTGGATTCATTGATTTTTTGAAGGGTTTTTTGTGTCTCTATTTCCTTCAGTTCTGCTCTGATTTTAGTTATTTCTTGCCTTCTGCTAGCTTTTGAATGTGTTTGCTCTTGCTTTTCTAGTTCTTTTAATTGTGATGTTAGGGTGTCAATTTTGGATCTTTCCTGCTTTCTCTTGTAGGCATTTAGTGCTATAAATTTCCCTCTACACACTGCTTTGAATGCGTCCCAGAGATTCTGGTATGTGGTGTCTTTGTTCTCGTTGGTTTCAAAGAACATCTTTATTTCTGCCTTCATTTCGTTATGTACCCAGTAGTCATTCAGGAGCAGGTTGTTCAGTTTCCATGTAGTTGAGCGGCTTTGAGTGAGATTCTTAATCCTGAGTTCTAGTTTGATTGCACTGTGGTCTGAGAGATAGTTTGTTATAATTTCTGTTCTTTTACATTTGCTGAGGAGAGCTTTACTTCCAACTATGTGGCCAATTTTGGAATAGGTGTGGTGTGGTGCTGAAAAAAATGTATATTCTGTTGATTTGGGGTGGATGGTTCTGTAGATGTCTATTAGGTCCGCTTGGTGCAGAGCTGAGTTCAATTTCTGGGTATCCTTGTTGACTTTCTGTCTCGTTGATCTGTCTAATGTTGACAGTGGGGTGTTAAAGTCTCCCATTATTAATGTGTGGGAGTCTAAGTCTCTTTGTAGGTCACTCAGGACTTGCTTTATGAATCTGGGTGCTCCTGTATTGGGTGCATAAATATTTAGGATAGTTAGCTCCTCTTGTTGAATTGATCCCTTTACCATTATGTAATGGCCTTCTTTGTCTCTTTTGATCTTTGTTGGTTTAAAGTCTGTTTTATCAGAGACTAGGATTGCAACCCCTGCCTTTTTTTGTTTTCCATTGGCTTAGTAGATCTTCCTCCATCCTTTTATTTTGAGCCTATGTGTGTCTCTGCATGTGAGATGGGTTTCCTGAATACAGCACACTGATGGGTCTTGACTCTTTATCCAACTTGCCAGTCTGTGTCTTTTAATTGCAGAATTTAGTCCATTTATATTTAAAGTTAATATTGTTATGTGTGAATTTGATCCTGTCATTATGATGTTAGCTGGTGATTTTGCTCATTAGTTGATGCAGTTTCTTCCTAGTCTCGATGGTCTTTACATTTTGGCATGATTTTGCAGAGGCTGGTACCGGTTGTTCCTTTCCATGTTTAGCGCTTCCTTCAGGAGCTCTTTTAGGACAGGCCTGGTGGTGACAAAATCTCTCAACATTTGCTTGTCTATAAAGTATTTTATTTCTCCTTCACTTATGAAGCTTAGTTTGGCTGGATATGAAATTCTGGGTTGAAAATTCTTTTCTTTAAGAATGTTGAATATTGGCCCCCACTCTCTTCTGGCTTGTAGGGTTTCTGCCGAGAGATCCGCTGTTAGTCTGATGGGCTTTCCTTTGAGGGTAACCCGACCTTTCTCTCTGGCTGCCCTTAACATTTTTTCCTTCATTTCAACCTTGGTGAATCTGACAATTATGTGTCTTGGAGTTGCTCTTCTCGAGGAGTATCTTTGTGGCGTTCTCTGTATTTCCTGAATCTGAACGTTGGCCTGCCTTGCTAGATTGGGGAAGTTCTCCTGGATAATATCCTGCAGAGTGTTTTCCAACTTGGTTCCATTCTCCACATCACTTTCAGGTACACCAATCAGACGTAGATTTGGTCTTTTCACATAGTCCCATATTTCTTGGAGGCTTTGCTCATTTCTTTTTATTCTTTTTTCTCTAAACTTCCCTTCTCGCTTCATTTCATTCATTTCATCTTCCATTGCTGATACCCTTTCTTCCAGTTGATCGCATCGGCTCCTGAGGCTTCTGCATTCTTCACGTAGTTCTCGAGCCTTGGTTTTCAGCTCCATCAGCTCCTTTAAGCACTTCTCTGTATTGGTTATTCTAGTTATACATTCTTCTAAATTTTTTCAAAGTTTTCAACTTCTTTGCCTTTGGTTTGAATGTCCTCCCGTAGCTCAGAGTAATTTGATCGTCTGAAGCCTTCTTCTCTCAGCTCGTCAAAATCATTCTCCATCCAGCTTTGTTCTGTTGCTGGTGAGGAACTGCGTTCCTTTGGAGGAGGAGAGGCGCTCTGCGTTTTAGAGTTTCCAGTTTTTCTGTTCTGTTTTTTCCCCATCTTTGTGGTTTTATCTACTTTTGGTCTTTGATGATGGTGATGTACAGATGGGTTTTCGGTGTAGATGTCCTTTCTGGTTGTTAGTTTTCCTTCTAACAGACAGGACCCTCAGCTGCAGGTCTGTTGGAATACCCTGCCGTGTGAG
The DNA here is from genome assembly GCF_000001405.40 of Homo sapiens. Classification (NCBI taxonomy): domain Eukaryota; kingdom Metazoa; phylum Chordata; class Mammalia; order Primates; family Hominidae; genus Homo; species Homo sapiens. Next base: position 237,076,023 of record NC_000001.11, on the reverse strand, counting down.
GTGTCAGTGTGCCCCTGCTGGGGGGTGCCTCCCAGTTAGGCTGCTCGGGGGTCAGGGGTCAGGGACCCACTTGAGGAGGCAGTCTGCCCGTTCTCAGATCTCCAGCTGCGTGCTGGGAGAACCACTGCTCTCTTCAAAGCTGTCAGACAGGGACACTTAAGTCTGCAGAGGTAACTGCTGTCTTTTTGTTTGTCTGTGCCCTGCCCCCAGAGGTGGAGCCTACAGAGGCAGGCAGGCCTCCTTGAGCTGTGGTGGGCTCCACCCAGTTCGAGCTTCCCGGCTGCTTTGTTTACCTAAGCAAGCCTGGGCAATGGCGGGCGCCCCTCCCCCAGCCTCGTTGCCGCCTTGCAGTTTGATCTCAGACTGCTGTGCTAGCAATCAGCGCGATTCCGTGGGCGTAGGACCCTCTGAGCCAGGTGTGGGATATAGTCTCGTGGTGCGCCGTTTCTTAAGCCGGTCTGAAAAGCGCAATATTCGGGTGGGAGTGACCCGATTTTCCAGGTGCGTCCGTCACCCCTTTCTTTGACTCGGAAAGGGAACTCCCTGACCCCTTGCACTTCCCAGGTGAGGCAATGCCTCGCCCTGCTTCGGCTCGCGCACGGTGCGCACACACACTGGCCTGCGCCCACTGTCTGGCACTCCCTAGTGAGATGAACCGGGTACCTCAGATGGAAATGCAGAAATCACCCGTCTTCTGCGTCGCTCACGCTGGGAGCTGTAGACCGGAGCTGTTCCTATTCGGCCATCTTGGCTCCTCCCGCAGACTTTCTTTCCAACACACTTTCTTCTCATATTTTTCCCCCTCTAAGCATAGAGAAAAATGCATGGGCCAAAAAAAAAGGCAGAAAATCCTGCATAAGCAGAACTATGAAACAGGCTTTCCAAAATGTTGCTTAGAGGCTCAGATTTTAAATTCACGCAGTGATATCCAAGCATAAAACCTACATGAGAATGAGAGTGGGTTCAGCGCTTGGGTCTCTGCCCTCCTAAACATGGGGTGACTCCCACAGCCTTTTCTCTATCAATATAGCTCCCAAACATGTGGAATCAGCCCAGATCCCTCTCCGAGACCTGGCTGCACAATCCAGCTGCATGTTCAGTATTTCTACCTAGACATACACCAGCTTCAAAATCGGTGACTCATCAACCTAACCTGCAAATCAACTCTTGCCCAGGATGGCCCCTCTACCGTTTAATAATATAACAATAGTTCCAGTCACACCAACGTAACATCGCCTGAATCATCTCTGATGGACTGCCCTCCCCCAGTCTTCAGTGTCCAGGCACAAGACAGACTCTTACACTGGGCGAAGAAGGACTAAGCCAAAGGGCCATCTTGGGTTTGCATAAGTCATCCCTGATGTGGCACTGGAACACACATTCTACCCGTGGTGACTGACTAATCATAAAAGAACATCATGAATATGTCTGGGCTGGGGGAGGTTGTGGCAGAACATTTGAAACAAGTTATGCAATAAGACAAAAGCAGGTGACTTTGGAGGGATGCAGATGACATCATGGTGAATCCTGCTTGAGGCCTCAGAGGTGTAAAGCAGCCTCTATCCATCAGTGTCCTCCCATTGCCGCATCTTCCTCCCAAGGAGTCATCCTTTTCTTCCCCATCTCACAGTTAGTACGTAGGTTATGGCAGTGCTGCCCAATAGCCTATCCACATATACAATTTTATTTAATCTATTTTTTGAAACCTAGCCTTGATCTTGCTCTGTCACCCAGGCTAGAGTGCAGTGGCATAATCGTAGCTCACTGCAGCCTTGAACTCCTGGGCTCAAATGGTCCTCCTGCCTCAGCCTCCCAAGTAGCTGGGATACAGGCACGTTCCACCACACCCAGCTAATTTATTTTCATTTTTTTAGAGATGGGGTCTCACTATGTTGCTCAGGCTGGTTTCAAACTCCTAGGCTCAAGCAATACTTCTGCCTCTGCCCCCTGAGTAGCTGGGATTACAGACATGAGCCATCATTTAGGGCTCCCACACAAAAAAATTTTAAATCTTCTCATAGCCATGGTTAAAAAAAATACGACGAAAAGGAAAAGGTGAAATTAATTTTAACCATATATTTTGTATAATCTAATATGTCCAAAATATTATCTCAACATGTAATCAATCACTACTGAAGCTTTTTTTTTTTTTTTTTTAAGATGGAGTCTCTGTCGCCCAGGCTGGAGTACAGTGGTATGAGCTTGGCTCACTGCAGCCTCTGCCTCCCAAGTTTAAGCGATTCTCATGCCTCAGCCTCCTGAGTAGCTGGGACTACAGGTGCATGCCACAACACCCAGCTAATTTTTTTTATTTTTAGTGAAGACGGGGTTTTGCCATGTTGGCCAAGCTGGTCTCGAACTCCTGACCTCAGGTGTCCGCCCACTTCAGCCTCCCAAAGTGTGGGATTACAGGCATAAGCCACAGTGCCCACCCTGAAGCATTATTAATGAGATATTTTATATTCTTTTTGCCATGATAGGTCTTTGAAATCTGGTATGCATCTTACCCCTGCAGCACATCTCAACTCAGAGGGGCCAAATTTCAAGTATTCAACAGCCACACATGGCCAGTGGCTGCCATACTGGACAGCGGGGCTCTGAACAGTGCTTATTTCAAATGCAGAGCAGGACAGTGACTTCCTACGTGGTCCCCTTTGTCTTATGAGGTTCGCCTCTGGCCTTGCTGACTCTCACTACCTGTGTGGTCCACGTTGTATATGGATTCAACTACCTGGCACGATCTTCCTTGTCTGCTCGAGAGAGAGGCCCATCCAAAGCAGGGCCCCTATCTGTATTCTCAACACCCACCACAAACCAGGCATTCCGTAGATGTTTGTCAAATAGTCAATCAACTAAAGACTCCAGGATAAAATCCAAATTCCTTAAAATGACAATCAGGTTTAGCCTTTAACTCCTTATAACAATCCTCTTCATAGTCCTCTACACTAGGTCCTTAAGTGTCTAGTTCAGCGTGCGGTGGGGCGAAGATAGAAATAGGTCCTGAGGTAAATATGTGGCAGCTTCCTGGAGCATTAGTTATACTAACAGATGAGTTTTTGTTTTTTTTTTTTTTTTTGAGATGGAGTCTCGCTCTGTCGCCCGTGCTGGAGTGTAGTGGCATGATCTCTGCTCGCTGCAACTTTTGCCTCCCAGGTTCAAGCGATTCTCCTGCCTCAGCCTCCCAAGTAGCTGGGATTACAGGTGACTGCCACCACGCCTGGGTAATTTTTTGTACTTTTAGTAGAGTCGGGGTTTCGCAATATTGCCCAAGCTGGTCTCGAACTCCTGACTTCATGTAATCCACCTGCCTCGGCCTCCTGAAGTGCTGGGATTACAGGCGAGTATTTTTAAATATTTTCAGATTAAAATGCTCTGGCAAACACTAAAAGATTTTTTTTAAGATTAAATACGAGTTTCCAAATCCATTTTATGTGTGCAACAAGTAGCTTTATAACTGACATTCTAGAAAACCTCCCACAGCTCCTTTTGGCATTCACTTCCCCCTTGCTGGTTGGTGCACTAAAGAAAAAATCTCTAATGAACCCTTGCTCTCCAGACCAGCTCATGTCTCCTTGTCTCTGCCCCTTTGCTGGGAGTATTCTCTTCATCTGTCTCTCATCTCCTCTGCCCATCCGCTCAATGCCTGGAAGCCGACCCTGATCAGTGGAAAGTGGAGTTTGCTAAACTGCAACTGATCTCAAAAGCTGCACAGGCCGGGTTCAGTGGTTCATGCCTGTAATCCCAGTGATGGCGGCGGTGGCCCCTCTGGAGCAGCCACTGTGGGGATGCCAGCTGCAGCGGGGGAGGCACAACCGGGGCGGCATGCCCCATGGAGCCGGAGGGCACGAGGAACAAGCAGGACCCCCGTGCCCTGCTGAGTTGTCAGAACGGGAGCCCCATGCTGCAGGCACAGCTGCAGCCACCTGGATATGGCTCCAGACCTGGGCATCCATGTGCTCTTGGGGGCCCAGGACACCCTCTTCCCCCAGCAGGGTCAGAAGTGCCTGCTCCCTGGCCATTCCCCACCTCCAGTGCCTGCTCCAATTTCAGAGTAAAGTAGAAGCCGAGCCCGGGCGCTATCGCGACCTGGCCAGCTGTATACCCACGCTCAAGGCAGCGATAACACACCAGCACCCCCGCCGCCTCATCCCCCTCTGAAACTCTGGGGGAGTTTCAAGCTCAGGGAGAAAGGCTGGAGCCGGGTGGGGCTGAGAGCAGCTCGGCAGGCACCCCTCGGTGTGCACAGCCTGGGCATCTTGGACAGAATGTTGATTGCCACAGGGGGCAAACAGGTTCCTAGGCAGGAAGGGGTAGGTCCCTGGTGAAGCCTCACCTTCAAGCCAGGCACGACCTGAAGCCTGGGGGCCAGGGGGCCAGTTCCCAGTGGAATCCCCAACACAGAGTAAGAGTTTATAGTGTTTTTTCCAGGCCTGCCATGGCCGACCGTGGACCCATCAGCACGCACTTCCTCCCCTCTGAGCCCATAAAAACCCTGGACTCGGCCGGGCAGGGTGGCTCATTCCTGTAATCCCAGCACTTTGAGAGGCTGAGGCAGGTGGATCACCTGAGGTCAGGAGTTCGAGACCAGCCTGGCCAACATAGTGAAACCTTGTCTCTACTAAAAATAGAAAAATTAGCCGGGCATGGCGACAGGTGCCTGTAATCCCAGCTACTCAGGAGGCTGAGGCAGGAGAATCGCTTGAATCCAGGAGGCAGAGGTTGCAGTGAGCCGAGATAGCACCATTGCACTCCAGCCTGGGGGACAAGAGCAAGACTTCGTCTCAAAAAAAAAAACAAAAATCAAAACCCTGGACTCAGCTGGACTCGCACACTCGTCAGGAAGACCTGCCTGCGGAAGGGAGCTGCCCACTTCAGGTCTCATGAGAGTTGTTCTTTTACTCAATGAAGCTCCTCTCCGACTAACTCACCCACCAGTTATCTGCATACCTCATTCTTCCCAGACGCTGGACTAGAACTTGGGACCTGGCAGGACCGAAAGAGTTGTAACACAAACAGGCTGGAAACATGCCCCCCACTCACCACATTGCAGGCAACAAGGAGAGAAGAGCAGTGGCCCTTGGGGGCTCCCTGAGCCAGGGCTGTGACATGCTGTAACACCCTCCTTGGGGCTCTGCAGTTCCTGGCATCTCTGAGCTTTTGGCACCATTGCATTCTCCTTGTCCAGATACTGGTGCCCACAGCAGAAGCCACTTGCAGTAGGTCTGATCCAGCCACAGCCTCACATGGAGCTGGCACCTGTGCCAGCACCTGGAGCAGCCCACCCCACCCCAGCCAGCATGCCTGGCTACACACAGTGGCTGGACCCCACACTCACTTGCTCACACAACCCTGGCCTCCTGCACCTGGCTTGCCCTTGGCAGGTGTGGGATCTGGGACAGTAGTGCAAACCAAGCACAGCCTGCCGGGCCATGTGGGCGAAATAAGCCCAGTGGGAGCAAGCAAAACCCAAGCAGAGGCACCACTGGCCACAGAGGTTCCAGCTGGTAAAGAAACACCCTAAGGATCCTGTGACACCAGCACTTTGGGAGGTTGAGGCAGAAGAAATGCTTGAAACCAGGAGTATAAGACCTTTATTCTCCTAAATGTTTAATTGTTTTCTGTTATTCATCCTATCATAAAACTGGTCCAATTAAGCTGTTGGAGGATGGTTTGATATACTTATTTAAAAATTAGCTGGGCCCAGGGACATGCACCTGTAGGCCCAGCTGCTCAGGAGGCTGAGGCAGGAGGATCTTGCTGCCAATTTTGCTTCAAGTCAGCCTGCAAGAAAAAATCATAAAAAATAGAAAGGTAAAAAGTTAAACACAGTCCAGGCATGGTGGCTCACACCTGTAGTCCCAGCACTTTGAGAGGCCTAGGTGGGAGGATCACTTGAGCCTGGGAGGTCAAGGCTGCAGTGAGCCATGATCATGCCACTGCACTCCAACCTGGGCAACACAGTAAGATTGTGTCTCCAAAAAAAAAAAAAAAAGTTAAAACACCAACAGGTATGTCAAACCAGCCTCCAGTAGCTTAACTGGACCAGTTTATAATGAGCAATGGAAAACAATTAAAAATTTAAGAGAATAAAGGAAAATATTTAGTCACATCATGCCATACTCTATGTGCATTTCATTTCAAACATTAAGTTTTCAGGAAAAATTTTCTAATAAAATGCAATTGTTAGGGAAAAACAGTATTAACGTGAAAACCAATAAAATAAAATCTATTCCTTGAGAAATAGCCTAATAAAAATAAGCTGGAGTAGCTTTGAAAATAAAGCATAATTTAAGAAGCCTAAACTCTTGCCTGACACCATTTTTTAAAAATGGACTTTTCCAGAATATTGAAGGAAATTCCTCACTCCTAATAATTCAGTACTTCACTAAGGTTTTAAAAAATTATGAAAGGCAATAGCATTAACTGATAAAAAATCATCAAGCATTTTCCTTGGGAAATATTTCTCTCTTAAGTTAAATGTTATATAAACATTCCTGATTTTCATGAACTACTTTCAGTCATCTGGATGACAGGCATTAATAATTAAGTCCAATACAAAAGTCCTCTCTGTACTCACTGTATAAGCTATAAATGTCCAACTTGCTGTGCCCTGTTTTGAAATGTATTTACTTATACTAGATATAAGTAATATTAAAATTAAATACCTAAAGAAGTCCATTTATGTTCCTATATTAAGTACATATTTCAAAATTACCTTTTGAAAATTGCTCTCTTTAAGTTCTATTGCTAAACCTCTGAGTGGTTCCCATTAATCTTTCCCACTTTCTCTTATCACAAAATACAGCCAGTTTATCAGTAAACAACATATAAATGGGATAAGCTGCATGGATTTTTCTAGGGCCTGGACTAGAAAATTCATTCACCAGCACTCTTCCAGAACAACCAATGAAGAGCAGAATTTAATATCATTTTTAAACAATTCACAGTTCAAGAGATCATAATGTCCTAATGAGCTATTTTCCTCCACCCATCATTGAACTTTTCTTACATTTATAACTTCTTTTCTGAAAAAGGGAATTCTACTAGAGTTGCTGCAATTATGCCAAATATTAAGAGATACAGGAAGATTTTTGCTCCAGTGCAATGTTACCATTACATGTATTTTTTTCTCAACTGGCTCACCTAGGAGCAGGTTGGAAGAAAAATGTCAGTTAAAGGCCACAGTACGGGGAGATCTAAAAACAGTAAAGGGAAGTTCATTTTATACACCAAAAGCCAGAAAATGGAGTCAGCAAAACCACTTAAAGCTCAAAGTAAAAATAAATGATGGTGAAGAAGAATTAATTTACATATTTGCTTCAATCATAACACAGTAAAGACTTTTTTGAGGAAATTCTCATAACCAACCCATTTTTGCAAAAGTCAGGGCAAATGTAATGAGAAGAATAATACAGGGTAGATGAGACTAAATTAACACATGGGAAGTGTTTTTTAAAAGCCCCTAAGAATTGAGAATATTCATCCACCAGTGAAAATGTGAAACCACAGACTGAAGTAAAGAATGTATTTACACAAATGGCCACGTTGGTAAGGGACAATTTACCAATGTTATCAGAATAAAGGCTTCAACAGCACATGGGCAACATAACAATGTCAACTGTTCTTGAGCCATGCCAAGAACATAAGAACATTTCATTAGCTATTAAACTAATATTTTTGCTGAGGCATAAATTTTGCCTATTTATAGGTATCCCATTTATATGTTGTTTACTGATAATCTGGCTGTATTTTGATAACCCCACCAATGTCCTCGTCTCTGCATGTCAGTGTGACTTTATTGTAATCACCATACTGTATATACTTGTTTTCAAGAAGTGTTTTTTTAAAAAACAACGAAACGTTTTGTTTCTTTGAGGAAAATGGGCCCCAGAAAGCCAAGTACTAGTGCTATCTATTCTGAGATTGACATGATGAGAAAGTGAAAGAGTCTAAAAATAGGTACAGTTCTTAGCAAAAAAAAAAAAAAAAAATCAAAGTTCTGGATAAATCAAGGTATGCAATGTTGAATCTGCTAGTGATTTAAGTGTAGGGCATGATTAATTATACCACAAACTGTGTATAGTACAATGCAATGGAGGTTCACTACCATCAAAGAGAAATGATGTGAAATTGACATGTCTGCAGGTTTAAAAACTCAGCTAAAGGAAATAGGAAGCAATAATTAAAGCGCAGGATGTTAACAGAAAAGAGTTTAGTCAGGAAGAACTCTTCCACAATGTTACAGTAAGCCAAATCAAAAACACCTGCTACAGTGTTCACGCATTGGAAGACAAAATAATAAAGATGCCAATTCAACCCAAATTGATACACAAGTTTTGCTACAATTCTTATCGAAACCCCGGTGAAATTTTTTGTAGATATAGACAAGAATATTTTAACATTTATATAGAAAGACAAAGGAAATGGTAAAACAATTTTGAAAAAGAGGAATTAAATGAGAGAAAACACGCTACCTGACATATATAGCTACAGTAATCAACACTGTATGGTATTGGTGGACAGCTAGACACATAGACGAATGAAGCGGAATACAGAACACAGAAATAGCCCTGCACAAGTATGAACAAATAATTTTGTACAAAAGCAATTCAATGGAGGAATGGTAATCTTTTCAACAAATGCTGCTGGAATAATTGGAGACAGGAAAAAAATAGAATCTCTACCTGAGTCTCATACCTTATTCAAAAATTAACTCAAAATCAGATCATCGATGAGAAACATAAAACTATAAAACATTTAGAAGAAAACATAAGAGAAAATATTCAAGACCAAGAGCTTGGCAAAGAGTTCTTAGGCATGGGGCAAAAAAAAGCACAATCCATAAAAGAAAAATACCAATAAATTTTACTTCATCAAAATTAAAAACTTCTGTTTTTTTGAAAGACTGTTGAGAGGGAGAAAATGATGAGCTACAAACCAGGAGAAAACATTTGCAAACCATATATCTGACAAAAGACCCATATCTAAAATTGATAAAGAATTTTCGAAATTCAGCATTTTTTATAAAGTCCATTTAGAAGATAGGCAAACGACATGAAAAGACATTCGACTTTTAAAAGACACAGATGCCGGGCGCGGTGGCTCACGCCTGTAATCCCAGCACTTTGGGAGGCCGAGGCGGGCGGATTGCGAGGTCAGGAGATCGAGACCATCCTAACACGGTGAAACCCCGTCTCTACTAAAAATACAAAAAATTAGCCGGGTGTGGTGGTGGGCGCCTGCAGTCCCAGCTATTCAGGAGGCTGAGGCAGGAGAATGGCATGAACCCGGGAGGTGGAGCTTGCAGTGAGCCGAGATTGCACCACTGCACCCCAGCCTGGGCGACAGAGCGAGACTCCGTCTCGAAGAAAAAAAAAAAAAAGAAAGACACGGGTGGCAAATAAGCACATGAAAGATGTTTAACATTACTAACCATTAGGGAAAAGCAAATTAATACCATGATTAGATATCACTACACACCTAGCAGAACAGCTAAAATTTAAAAACAGTTACAATACCAAATGCTGACGAGGGTGTGGAGAAACTGGATCTCCCAAACATTGCTGATGGGAATCTAAAACTGCAGCCACCCTGGAAAATACTGCAATTCTTTAAAAACTAAACATAGCTTACAACCAACCAAACATAACTTACAACCAACAAAACATATTCCTGGGCATTTATCCCAAAGAAACAAAACTGATTTCTGCATAAATGCCTGTATAAGATTATTCATAGCCATTTTCATTGTAATAGCCAAAAACTGAAAACGACCAAGATGTCTTACAAAAGAATGTAAACAGACATGAGAAAAGGCATTTTGCAAGACATTTTGTAAATGGCCAAACAAAATGTGGTATGTCCATAGCATGAAAAGAGCATTTCGCTGAATGAAAAATGCCAATCTCAAAGGTCACCTATTGTATCATTCAATTTATATTACTGATATGGTTGGATCTGTGCCCCCACCCAAATCTCATGTCAAATTGTAATCCCCAATGTTGGAGGTGGGGTCTGGTTGGGGGTGACTGGAGCATGGGTGGGGATTTCCCCCTCGGTGCTACTCTGGTGATAGTGAGCAAGTGCTCTTGAAATCTGGTTGTTTAAAAGTGTGCAGCACCTTCCCCACACTTCCTCCTGCTCCAGCCATGTAAGACGTGCCTGCTTCCCTTCACCTTCCACCATGATTGAAAGTTTCCTGAGACCTCCCCAGAAACTGTCATGTTTCCTGTATAGCCTGTGGAACCATGAGCCAATTAAACCTCTTTTCTTTACAAATTACCCAGTCTCAGATATTTCTTTACAGCAGTGCAAGAACGGACTAATACAATTACATTGTCAAAATGACAAAATTACAGAGATGGAGAACAAAACAGTGGCTCCCATGGGCTAGGGATGGTGGCACTAAGGAGGAAGTGTATGACTATAAAAGGATAGCAGGCCAGGCACGGTGGCTCACGCCTGTAATCCCAGCACTTTGGGAGACTGACGTGGGTGGATCACAATGTCAGGAGTTCGAGACCAGCCTGGCCAACATAGTGAAACCCTGTCTCTACTAAAAAAAATACCAAAAAAAATTAGCCAGGCGTGGTGGTGGGTGCCTCTAATCCCAGCTACTCAGGAGGCTGAGGCAGGAGAATGGCTTGAACCCGGGAGGTGGAGGTTGAGGTGAGCCAAGATCACGCCATTGCACTCCAGCCTGGGCGACAATGCAAGACTCCCTCTCGAAAAAAAAAAAAAAAAAAAAAAAAAAAGGATAGCACACAAGAGCTCTTTGAGGATGGAACAGTTCTGTATCTTGATTGCAGTGGTCATTACATGAATCTATGGGTGATAAAATAGCATAAAACTATATACACGCTTTATAGCAATGCTAACTTTCTGCTTTTAATATTGTACTATATTATGTAAAATATAACCAATGAGAAAAATGACTGGAGAGTATCAGCTTTCTGTGACTCTATCATTATTTCAACCTAAAAAGTTTCTTAAGAACAAGTTAAAACAGAACACACAATACGATGTTACGTGCCACCAAAAGTTAGTTTCTCATGGGGGACTTCAGTTCCAGGTTATGATAGAGACGCTGGTACTGAACTAAACTTTCGCTGAGAATAACTATAAAAACTAGTTTAAGTAGAAGATTATTTGAAGTCGCTGAAGAGCAACCAAATCATAGGATGTGATGGGCTTGCATGCAATATACTGAATTGAGATTTCACAATCAAGACAGGATCTAGTAAAAAAAAAAAAAAAAAAAAAAAAAAAAAAAGACAGGTTCTAGTAAAAACAAAAAACAAAAACAAAAAACTGCAGGTATTCACATGAGACCTCAGAAGAGTTATACCTACTAGGAAGGGCAATATGGAGACAAATAAGCCTCAATGAGATGACAATGATGTGCCTGGATGCTACCTACCTACCAGAATAAAATTAATGTTTTGTGGAAGAAGATAACATCATCTAGAACCTCTATATCTTTTCTTACATTATGTCCAATACATTTAAAAATACCATTTTTGCCAGAAAATAAGACCAAATATCTGAAAACCAAGAGGAAGAAAAGGAAAGAGAAACAAACGTAAATGTGATACATGTATTATGCTTATTTATTACAATAATAAATATATTTGAAAATAGATGAAGAGGAAGAATGTTACAACAGAATTTGAATCTGGAAAAAGAACCAAATGTAAAACCAATTACTAAAAAATAAAACAGCTCAAAATTTAAGAATTCAGTAGATGGACTTACCAGCTGACTGGACAAAGCAAAAAGAGATTTATGAACTGGTAGAAAGGTCAGTGGGAAATACTCCGAATTAAGTACAAAGAAAAAATAAAAGGAATGAAAATACAGAAAAGAATGTAAAAGAGACATGAGAAAAAGGAGCAAAATATCTATCATCGGAATCCCAAAAAGAAGGGAGAGAGAGAATGAGGCAGAAGCAATGTTTGAAGAAATACTGGCCAAGAATTTTCCAAAATGAATGAAAAATACCAAGCCTCAGATTCAAGATACTCCACAAACCTCAAGCAGGATAAATAGAATGAAAATATCACCTTTAAAGGAAAACAGTGAGACTTACAGCTGACCTTCCAAAGAGAAATAATGGAAGCCAGAATTGCTGGGGGTGGGGTCGGGGGTGGATCACCAACAACTGCCAATTCCATACGCAAACAAGGAGAAACACAGATGTTTTTAAACAAAAACTGAGAGAATATCTTGTCAGTAAACCCATCATAAAATAAATCTTAAGGTACTTCTTCAGACAGCAGCAAAATGATCCCAGATGACAGCATGGCAAGCAGGACAACGGAAAGGCACTAGACAGTGCAACATATAAGTAAATCTACATGAATTCTGACTGTTAAAGAATAATAATAATGTCTTAAGGAGTTGAAGAGAGAGAGAGAGAGTGTGTATGTGTGTGTGTGTGTAGAATTAAAATACATAGCCAGAAGAGCACAAAAAGAGAGGATAAATAAATTTAAAGTATTATATAAACAGACTCGCATTTCCAGAAAAATATAAAAGTATTCATTTAAGGTAGATACTAATAAATTAACGATATTATAATCTCTAGTGTAAACACTGAAGGAGTAATAAAAGAATGAATAACTCACAAGCTAATAGAAGCTTGTTAATAAATATTAATCTAAAGAAAGGCAAAAAATGAAAAAATAAATAAAATAAATATCATAGTTCAAACTGCTACAACAAAGTCCCACAGACCTGGTGGCTTATAAACAACAGGAATTTACTTCTCACCATTCTGGAGGCTGGGAAGTGTGAGATTAGAGAGCCAGCATGGCCAGGTTCTGGTGAAGGCCCTCTTCTGGGTTGCAGACTGCCTGCTGTTTTCTCATTGTGTCCTCACATGGTAGAGCAAGAGAGCTCTCTCATCTCTCTTATAAAGGCATTAATTGCACTCATGAAGGCTTTACCCTCATGACCTAATCATCTACCATCTCCCACTACTATCACATTGGGGGTTAAGATTTCAACATAAGAATTTTGGGGGTAGGCACAAACAGTCCATTGCACTAACAGAAAAAAAAAAACAGTAAAATCATAATTCTAAACTGATATTTTTAAGCTGCATATGCACAGTGTAAGACTCCCAATACAAGGCAGAATTCAGCTGCCAAACACAACAAAAACAAAACAAAACAGCTTAGTAAACCACAGCAAGCATCATAAAATCCTTGATGAAATTCTCTTAAGTTTTCCCTGAAACTGAGGGAAAGGATCAAAGATCTGCTATCATGTCTTCTAGTCAGCATTTACAAAGATCCTGGGAAGTACAATGAGGCAATAACAAGAAATGAAAACTGAGAAGCAAAAAATAAAATGGTCAGTATGTACAGATGACATGACTGGGCATATAGAAAATCCAAAAGAATCTATAAACTATTAGAATTAATAAGTGAACTTGGCAAGGTTACTAGATACAAGGTCAAATGTAAAGTCAATTATATTTTTACAGTCTAAGAAACAATTTTTTAAAGATACATTTGCATTGACATCAATAAACATCAAATACCTAGAAATAAATCTGACCCCCAAAATGTGCAAAGTCTTTCATGGAAAACTAAGTGCAAATACTGAGAGAAATTTTAAAATATCTAAATATATAAAAGAAAGATATACCATGTTCATAGATTGGGAGTCTTAATATCGAAAAGATGTTAATTCTTCTCAAACGGGTCTACAGATTTGATGCTATTTCATTAAAAATTCCAGCAGCTCATCTTGTGGAGATTTATAAGCTAATTCTAAAATTTAAACTGAAATGAAAGGAGCCAAGAATAGCAAAGATAATTTTGAAGACTTAGAGCAAAGTTAGAAGATGAACACCAACATATAACAAAACAGCAGAAATCTGGAGTTAATTTAAAAGTTATAAATTTGGAACAAGAAAAGACAAATAGACCAATGAAATAAAAGAGAGTCAAGTAATAGATATCCCTGCTTACAGCCACCTGACTTACTACCCAGGTACCACTGCAATGCAGTGATGAAAAGGTAGCCTTTTAAATAACTAGTCCTGGATCAATTGGACATCCATAGGTGGAGGGACTGATCTCTACCTCAAACTATAAACAAAATATCAATTCTAAGAGCACAGACCTAAATATCAGCCTTAAAATAGTAAAGGCTGTAGAAGATAACATGGGAGAACAGCCTTTGGGTAGGCAAAGAAGATACAAAAAAAAAACCACAAACCATGATTTAAAAAAACTGATAATCTGGACTTCATTAAAGTGAAAAACTGCTCTTCGACACTAACAACATCAGTAACAGAGGGGGGAAAAGCAAGAGTGTTGGAAAAGATATTTGCAATAGACGTATCTAACAAAAGATTCCTATTCACATCATATAAAATACTCCCCAAAAGTTAATGTTTAAAAAAGACAATTCTGGTCAGGCACCATGGCTCACATTTGTAATCCTACCACTTTGGAAGGAGCACTTGAAGCCAGGAGATTGAGACTAGCCTTGGCAACATGGTAAGACCTCATCTCTACAAAAAATTAAATTAGCTGGCATGGTTGTACACTTGTAGTCTTAGCTACTTGGGAGGCTGAGGCAGAAAGAGCCCTTGAGCCCAGTAGTTTAAGGCTGCAGCAAGCTATGACTGTGCCACTGCACTCCAGCCTGGGCAACAGAATGAGACTCTGTCTAGAGAGATGATTAGATAGATAGATAGATAGATAGATAGATAGATAGATAGATAGATAGATGATAGATGGATAGATAGATAGATGATAGATAGATAGATAGATAGATAGATAGATAGATAGATAGAACAACCGTATTTTTAAAACAGGCTAAAGCCTGAATAGGTATTTCACAAAAGAATACAGTATATCCAAATGGACATTAAAGATACAAAGCAGGTGTTCCCCATCATGAGTTGTCAGTGAAATGCAAAATTAAAGTCACAATGAAACCCTCTATACATCCACCATAATGATTCCTACTTTTTTGAAACCAACATTTACTAAGTACTGCTAGTGGAAATGTTAACTGAGTCAACTACTTTGGAAAAGTGTTTAGAAGGCTGAGCATATATATAACCCAATCAGCAATTCTACTCATAGGTATATATCCAGCAGAAATGTATACATACCCTTATTTCAGGTGTTCACTTAAATATTTAAATCTTTCATATTTGAGAATATTAGTACCAGCTTTGTTTTTATTAGTGAAACCAGAAACAACCCATTGTCTATCAACAGAATGGATAGATGAATTGTAGCATACAGCACTAAGCCACCAGGAGCTACAACATGGATGCATCTCTGATATAAATGAAGCAAAAGAAACTAGACACAAAAGAGTGCATATTGCATTGTCATTCCATTTGCACAAAGTGGAAAAACAAGCCGAATTAATTTATTTTTCTAGAAGTCCATAGAGTAGTAACCTTTGGAAAGGCAGGTAACTCTTGGGAGGGGGTGCTAGAGAGGCTTGCAGGTAATGGTAACATTCAATGCATTAATGTGAGTGGTAGTTACACAACTGCGTTCACACTGCAAATATTCATCAAGCTGTACACTTAAGATTTATGTACTTTACTATCTGTATGTTAATATATTACACTTCAATTTTTAAGTTTCCTTTAAAGTTACTTAAGAAAGATTTAGCAGGGGAAAAAAACAGTCTATGAAAGGCTAATAAATTAGTGTTGGTAATAGTTTCTTGTGGGCAAGGATTATATATCCCATTATACCCATGGAGTTAAGTAGAATGCTTTGCGTATAACAGGAATTCGGAAAGGCTAAGAACATAATCATGATAATGGTAGTAATCATATAATTTTATATATAATTTGTATTTCTGTGGATACAAATATGAGAGCTTTCAGCCAGCATTTAATCTTCCTTGTTAATATCCCTATGAATAAAATAGAAAAATGTAGACTGGATGTAGAGAAATGTAGAACTGATTTGACACAGACTTTGAAGGAAATCTTACCTGGTTGGCCATCAGATTCTAGCCTCAGCACCTTCCCATTTAGGAGTCTTATTAATAACTATGTGGAAACCATTTTAAAACACAAATGAAGAAGAACGCTTTAAGTATAAGTCTACAGCACCCTACAGACACCTGACACACAGGAGGTAGTGAGTATATATATCTTTGCTGAATGAAAGAATACACATATATTGGAATCATGGTTCCATCCAATACATTCATAGTATTATCATGCAGTAAAAATTATCAACCGTGGTCAATCCAATATTTATGGCATTCTTCATGAACTGGGACAACCACAAAGCCGATCATGTAGCTAAATAAAAGTGAATGCTTGAAAACTTATTAATGCAATCCCCAAATAAATACATGGCCTTAGTCTCCCATAACTTACAGTAGTTTTTCTTCCTTTCCTCTTATGAAAAACTGTTATACTCTCAGTATTTCAGTTTATGGCACAGAAGAATCTTATCAAAAACACTTCAGCAATAATTTTTCCCTGCCCACAAAAATAGGCTGGATTTATCTAACCTTAAAAATAGACTCCATTTATCCACAATATCAGGGCCCTTCTTGGAAGCTGTACTGCTAAGTTATGCAGAGTTCTCGACTCCTGGTGGTATGAACAACAAGCAAAAGAGGGTGTCATTACTCATCTCCTCTCTTATGCAAAGATTTGCAAGTCCTTCTCCTTGATTTATTTATCAGATTCTGTTTGGGTCAGATTTTAGTCTGCCCCATTATTCACGTTAGATGGCAATGGCATCATCATTATTAACCCCGAGATTTTAAAGTCCATTTCTGTATCCCAGTAAGGCATCTGAGTTATACACAGCACCCTCTTAACAAAACTGTGGGCTTTAGTTTGCCCATTTAGAGGGAAATGCGGAAATGATCTCTGTTCCCTCCCTACTGTGTGACTGCATGAAACTGGTGTCATTTATGGAATCGCTGATTCCATTCTCTACTGACGTTCAGGTCCTTGTTTTAGGCCTGTCCAGAGCAATGTTTTGGTTGGTTGTAATGTATGCCAGATTTCTCGTTCTGCTAGACATGTGAAATTCAAAAAAAAATTTCTGCAGAAAATGTACTAGTCAGGACCAAAACTAGAGAATGTTCAATAAGCAGTAGATATGGCAGGTTTTTTTTTTATCACTCTACAGTAAAAAATGTGAGGCGCTATCTCCCACCTTCTAATTGCTACCTGATTGTTACTGAACACCCCGCCCCCCGGCCCCCCGCCCCTTCTCCAGACCAGCATCTCTAAGCACCTTAACCAGGTGAGAAGATGGTGAAGTCTCCGGGGAGGAAGGAAGGCTGGTCTCAAGCTTCTGGGCTCAAGTAATCCGGCCCGCCCTGGCTCCAAAAGTGCTGGGATTACAGGTGTGAGCCACCACGCCCCGCCTCCAAGGAAGATTCCTTTTGAGAAAGTGTTATAGGTGCTCATTCAGAACACAAAAGAGATGAAGATATATGCTCTGTTGTTAAGTGCAGACATTTGTTGAAAGCTTTTACCTTTAAATCAACAGTGTGAAGTATGGAACAAATGTGGAATTTACACATGTAAATACTGTATAGATTTACTGGTTAGATTTTTTTGAAAGACAGTGCTTTGCAAGCAACAAATTATATGTACAGCATAGTGCCAATTACACAAAAATGTGGAGGAAAAAACTCTCAAAATATAAATTGCTAATTTTCTGAAAAATTACTGGAATTTTCTTAGCCAGATCCTATCATAGTAGGAGAGCTGAGGGCAGTCACTACCAGCAGAATCATTCTGTTTCCTAAGATATTTCAACATTTTCCCCTGACCTGAGCTTTCAGAAAATCCCTCCAATATATCCCTAGACTGACTATTTGCTTAATAGTATACATAATTACCTATATAAGCCCTACCTTCTTTTTGAGTTAACAGCTATGAGAAAAAACCCGCCAGCAATATCAGCTTCTCCCATTTGTCTTAATGAGACATGCTTGCTTCAAGCCTAGCTGGATTATTTCATCACCAAACCACTGCAAATTGCAAACAAAACACGCCCAGCTTTGAACCAACAAAGCTTTATAGAGCTCTAATTTTAATGATCAAAAGGTCCCTAGCAGAAAATGAAATGATGCAAAGCTAAACCAAAGGCAAATGAAAATCGTATGTGCTCTCGAATTAAGAAAAGCAGTAATTAGGTATCTGCAAAGAGAGGCGATGCATCAGCTTAGGCGTGTGCCCAACAATGGTGATGTGTGTTGGTGGGGCTGGGGGGCATCTCTATCCCATCTTGTACTTAGGAACTTGCAACATCAATCACCACTTCTCCTCTACAACCTTAGATTATGGTCTCTTTCATGAGAAAAGAAAAGCATCCCTAACTTTTACCCTTCCTCCCCTTTCAAGCTCCCACCTCCTCTCTTCCTCTTCAGCACATGGGGTGAAAAGATTGTCTATATCATCTGCCTCTATTTACTGCTGCTCTGTTGCTTCTGGGTCTCTGGCAATCGGGAGTCTACTTTCAACCTCCTCGCAGAGACTCCCATAATGATCACATCAAAAGTCTCCTCAGGGCCAGGCGCGGTGGCTCACGCCTATAATCCCAGCACTTTGGGAGGCTGAGGTGGGTGGATCACAAGGTCAGGAGATCGAGACCATCCTGGCTAACGTGGCGAAACCCCATCTCTACTAAAAATACAGAAAATTAGCCGGGCGTGATGACACACACCTGTAGTCCCAGCTACTCGGGAGGCTGAGGCAGAAGAATCGCTTGAACCCGGGAGGTGGAGCTTGCAGTGAGCCGATATCACACCACTGCACTCCAGCCTGGGCGACATAGCAAGATTCCGTCCAAAAAAAAAAGAAGTTTCCTCAGTCACCTTCGTCTGAGCCTCTGTTGCTGACTCCTCTACATGCTCCTCCCAGATCATCTGGTCCATTTTTGTGGTTTCTCAATCACACCAGTGGCCTCCAATCTGCCTCACTGGGTCACTCCTCTCTCCAAAACACTAAATCCACACTTCTAGCTTTGTGCCTTGAATTCGACTCCTACTGCTGCCATAATAACGTATCACAGACTGGGTGGCTTAAGCAACAGAAATGTATTATCTCTCAGCTCTGGAGGCCCAGAGTCCGAGATGGGGTCAGCAGGGCTGGTTCCTTCCGAGGGTGGGAGGGGGAACCTGTTCCATGCCTCTCTCAGCCCTAGTGCTCCTTGGCTCACAGATGCAATGCTCCAGTCCTCACAGGTGCAGTGCTCCAGTCTTCACAGATGCAGTCTCTAGTCCTCACAGGTGCAGTGCTCCAGTCCTCACAGATGCAATGCTCCAGTCCTCACAGGTGCAGTGCTGCAGTCCTCACAGGTGCAGTGCTCCAGTCCTCACAATGCAGTCTCTAGTCCTCATAGCTGCAGTACTCCAGTCCTCACAGGTGCAGTGCTCCAGTCCTCACAGGTGCAGTGCTGCAGTCCTCACAGGTGCAGTGTTCCAGTCCTCACAGGTGCAGTGCTCCAATCCTCACAGACGCAGTGCTCCAGTCCTCACAGGTGCAGTGCTCCAGTCCTCACAGGTGCAGTCTCTAGTCCTCACAGGTGCAGTGCTCCAGTCCTCACAGTTGCAGTGCTCCAATCCTCACAGGTGCAGTGCTGCAGTCCTCACAGGTGCAGTGCTCCAGTCCTCACAGGTGCAGTGCTCCAGTCCTCACAGGTGCAGGGCTCCAGTCCTCATAGGTGCAGTGCTCCAGTCCTCACAGGTGCAGTGTTCCAGTCCTCACAGGTATAGTCTCTAGTCCTCACACATGCAGTGTTCCAGTCCTCACAGGTGCAGTGCTCCAGTCCTCACAGGTGCAGTGCTCCAGTCCTCACAGGTGCAGTGTTCCAATCCTCAGAGGTATAGTCTCTAGTCCTCACAGGTGCGATGCTCCAGTCCTTGCAAGTGTGCTTCAGTCCTCACAGATGCAATGCTCCAGTCCTCACAGGTGCAGTGCTCCAGTCCTCACAGGTACAGTCTTTAGTCCTCACAGGTGCAGTGCTCCAGTCCTCACAGGTGCAGTGCTGCAGTCCTCACAGATGCAGTGCTCCAGTCCTCTCAAGTACGGTCTCCAGTCCTCACAGGTGCAGTGCTCCAGTCCTCACAGGTGTGCTCCCTGTGTATCTTCACACCATCTTCCCTCTGTGTGGACCTGCGTCCTAATCCCTTCTTGTTAGGAGGGCACTAGTCATATAGGACCAGGGGCCAGCTTAATGGCCTCACTTTCACTTGATTCCTTCTGTAAAGACCCTATTTCCCATTAAGGTCACATTCTAAGGTCCTGGGGATTAGGATGTCAACATACTTTTTAGGGAGCCATAATTCAGTCCATAACATATCTCAAAATAAATACATCCAAAATAAATCCCACTGCCTTCCCCTGAAACCTCCCCTTCCTCCTGATTTCCATATGACCAACACCATCTGAAGCTCAGCTTTGTCTTTTTCCTCTTCTTGTATCTAATCAGTTACCAACCCCATAAACCCTTTCTCCACTGTGTCCTAAAGCTCCCGCTCCTTTCTATTCCCACAACTACCACCCAAATTTAGGCCCGAATTATCTTGCACCAGCTCCGTGGTGACTGTCTCCTAATAGGCTTCTCAGCTCCGGTCCCGCTCTGATCTCTCTACATCCCAATTTATCTTATAAATTGCTGCCCCATTAATCTTTCTAATGGACAGCTCTGACCCATTTTTCTCCCTTGAGAAGGAGAAAAAAGAATAACTTCCAGGGCCCCTTTTACCTTATGAATTAAGAACAAATCCCTGACCCTGGTCTCAGGGCTCCCCAGTCCCCCCAGGATGACACAGCAGTACTCGCCCGTCATCTCTCTCCCAAACGTGTCACCGTGCTTCCCGCCTTCGCATCAGGGTCTCATCAAGGAAGGGAATGGCACTCTCAAGGGTTTAACTGAAGAGAGGTGAATGAGGGATCATTTACCAAGGTGCGGGCTGGGAGCGTGACAGGATCCGACAGAGGTGGGACTTCTAGGGACCAGCAACAGTGGGAAACTGTCCCCAGCCCTGGATCTGAGCCAACAAGGAAAGGAAACAGTGCTCCCGGCACCATCTAGAGTAGGAGGCTCCTGAACATAGAACAGGGCAGAGAAGACTGGAAAGTGGCCCTGGGGATGGGGAGACAGAAGAAACAACACATGGCCCCCACTCACCTTCCTCTTTCATCTGTCCTGTCTTCCTGCCCTCCCCACCCAAATTCAGCAAGATCCCACTCACTTTTACTTTAGGAGGCATAGTAGTGGTGTTGAAGGTAACTTTTTTTAAAGTAAAAATACGACTCAAACAAAGACAAAATGAACACATCAAAGATTTTATTTAATTTCTTCACTAAAGAACCAGTGTGGTATCACAGCAGGTTCAAAGGAGACTCCAAAGGACATACAGAGATATCAGCCCATCAGGAAGGCTGAGATGAATTTGCTTGAGAAGAATAAACCCACTCGGTATCTACAACTGCATTCTAGTAGACACAATTTGCATTTTCTATAATCAAGAATCAACAGTTCAGGAATCATTACTATCAGTTTTCCACAATTTAAGAGCAGTAAGATAGCTCCCAGACAAGTGAAAAGCACAGATAACCTAAATGGACAAATGTGATAGGACAGCCATAAATCATTCCTTATAATCCAATTTACAGTCTTTTACCATTTTTCCTGACAGATGGAGGGAGGGGGGGAGGGGGGAGGCGGGGAGGGGAGAAGAGGGAGGAAGGAGGAAGGGAGGGAGGGAGGAAAAGGGAAGGAAGGGAGGAAGTGATGGATAAAGGGAGGGAGAGAAGGAGGGAAGAAAAAGGAAGGAAGGGAGGAAAGAAGGGAAGAAGGGAGGGAGGGAAGGAGGGAGGGAGGAAGGAGAAAGAAGGGCTTTGGCATCTGAAAACCCTGGGCTCGCCAGCAACATCACTTACTCATTAATTGCCCTTGAACAAGTCATTTCACCTCTTTGCAACTCAGTTTCCTGATCTGTATTAATGCAATTAACCGCTTTATAGACTAAATGGATTGTTCCAGGAATCAAATGAATTGCAGCTATCCTGTCTGAGCGGAATAATGTGGGCCAATATACTTGTCCTTTCATGTTCCTTCACTATAAAGGGGTTAGACCCTGATCCCTGAAGATCCTTTTCAGTCTGAGAATTCTGTGACTGGAAATGCTGCCTCCTCCACCAAGCCTTAGATAATGGTACTCCTGGGACACGGATCCCTCCCTCCTCAACATCCTTTCCTCTGACGGTTTTCTGATTGTTATGTCCACTGTGTAGTAGAATATTTGCGTTTTCCTTATTCCCTATCCCACCCATAGAGACAGAATAAGCTCTTTAAAGGCAGGACAAGCGTGGATATAAGTCCAGCAAGAAGCATGGCACGTAGCAGGCAGTCCACGAACATTTCAGAATGAAGGAGAAGAGACCGGGCGCTGGCGCAGGAAGAGGTGAAATCACAATTGTCTCTTATCCTTCACCAGTTTCCGTATCCTCTTTGGTGTGAGTAGGACTGACTCAAGTCGGGCTGACTTTGCAGGCTTCTGTGTGATGCAATTCTTCATGACGGGAGCAGGACATTTAGACTTAATAATGACACCCCCATCTTCAGGAGATGATGGCCCCTTCCCTGTCACAAAGGGAATGGCAGTGAAGCTGAAGTTTTTACGCTTCTCTGACAGCCATCAATCAAAAACGTTTCATCTCAGCTTTTCATTTGTCTGAAGAAGAAATGTTCTCCTGACGTTTCGTCGAACCTACAAGCCAGGACGTGTAAGCTGATCATGACTCCCAGCTGTGGGCATTGGCCTTGGAAACATGTCATGACAGACATGTCCAAGACCAAAGGGAACTAACGGGATAGTCTAAAAAATAAGAAGAGATGGGTTGGGTGCGGTGGCTCACACCTGTAATCCCAGCACTTTGGGAGGCTGAGGTGGGCGGACCATGAGGTCAAGAGATCGAGACCATCCTGGCCAACATGGTGAAACCCCATCTCTACTAAAAATACAAAAATTAGCTTGGCATGGTGGCGGGCACCTGTAATCCCAGCTACTCAGGAGGCTGAGGCAGGAGAATCACTTGAAGCTGGGAGGCAGAGGTTGCAGTAAGCCAAGATCACACCACTGCACTCCAGCCTGGCAACAGAGTGAGACTCTGTCTAAAAATAAATAAATAAATGAAATAAAACAAGAAGAGAGGCAAAGGGCATCAGGGATTGGATCCTGTGTATGCAATGCGTGTGTGTGTATGTTTCTGTTACATTTTTCAAGTGTCTTAATCATCCTTCAATATGTTGTTCTTCCCTAAAAGGAGAGGAAAAAAAAAACCCTGTTCTTGCCTACAGGCTCATAACTGTGACATGCTCCTGAAGTACAGTTCTTGAAAATATTGTCCTTAAAAAAACAAGCACTTTAAAACATATTTTCATCCCTTAGCCCACTCCCCCAAATGTCAACTGTTTCAAAAATAAAATGAATCAAAATTTCCTGAAACGCTACAAAAGAGATTTTGGAGCACTTTTAGAGATCAAGGCGGCATTTCATTGAAACTTTAATTCCTGCCTTACATGTTGTTCTATAGTCTGGATTCTGCCTTTCATGTTTTTTTCATATTTTATAATGAAATAGAATCTCTGCTTTTACCACCATTTACTTCACCATTGGCCATTTACTCCGTGAGTTTTGGAGCCCAATATCATGACCACATCCATCATCTCTTCACCTTTTGGACCCTCTGAATTTTACACAGGACACAATCCCCCTAGAACCATAAGCTTACTGTTCCCAGGTTGATGCATATAAGGTTTCACTGTTTGAGCATCTGAACTCTACGGGAACTATGGCTTCCACCTTCATGGTATCTCTTAGGTACCTGGTATAATGCTACAGATAAAAGAGGTATCCCGTTCACACACACTGCATTAAGGTACCCTAGTAAACTGCATATAATTACCCTACTCTGTATTTATTATGTAAAATACTATCTCATGGAATCAGTTCGATGCAATTCCACAAACATTAAACACAGGACCTATGATGTGGCACACAGCCTGCAAGGCTCTGGTAATGTAAGAAATTCACATTTGATATTATAAAGTAACTTCCTGCAGGTAGAAGCAGGGCACCAAGTTTCCCTCTCATTTTAAAATATGTCCATCTCCAGCAGAAAGGGCCCCTGTATGGCAAGATTAAGTGAGAGTTCTAGAGCCAGCCTGCCCAGGTCTGAAACTGTCGCTCCACTGCCTGTGTCTGCAAACACTGGGCTCACTTCACTTCTTTGCAGGTAGCTACCTCTGAGGGATTTTCTAGGGATTTCATGAGAAAATACACATGCAATGCTTAGAACAGACCTGCCAGACAATTACATATCAATGCACCTACAAGAAATAAAGTTGCCAACAGCAGTAGGTAGGCCACGGCGTAAAAAAGCTCTGATCTCCTGACTAGAAATGGTTACTCCTCAGGCTGATGCTGTATTTAAGATCAGAGGAACTCCTCTCAGCCTGTGGGACTATTCAAATGTGCCTTAAGAATGCCCTGTACAACCTCAAAAAGACATGTGGACACCATTGTTCCTGAATGCTGAGATGGTACAGGTTTGTTGCTGGTCCTGCCACTATCAAAATAGCATCTCTCAAAAGTAACTCACTCATGAGCCCCGAGGAGAGAAGAGGAGAGAAGACGAGAGGGGAGGGGAGGGGAGGGGAGGGAGAGAGATAAAGAGAAAGAGAGAGAGAGAGAGAGAGAAGGGGAGGAGAGGGTAGGGAACGGGAAGGGGAGGGGAAGGGGAGGGAAAGGGGAGGAAGGGGGGGGAGAGAAAGGGAAAGGGAGGGAAGGGAAAAGGAGGGAAGGGGGAAGGGAGGGGAGGGAAAGGGAAAGACAAAGGGAAAGGAACCATAAAAATAAAAACCCCAAAGCACTGGAAGAAATAACAGAGATCAACAGACAATTCACTGCTACACATGAACTAATTTAACTGAATTCTACACCACAGTCAAAATTGGTGAAAAAAAATATGGTGGAATATCTTTCATTCATTTGTGCACACATGTGTGCGTGTGTGTGAGACCGAACTTTCCTCATGTAAAGTTTCTTTGATTATGAAATAAATATAAACTCTAGCAAAAGCTAGAAGAATTTAAATCATAATTGCTTTTATTTTGAAAACCAGAAACCTGCTGTGGAAAAGAAGAGAATACAACTTCTAGTGGCTATCACCTCAGTGTGCTGTTCGGCTTCATTTTAACAATATCCCAATTGACTCAAGACTAAGGATATCATTTTTCCTGTAAGCTTTCTTTTTCTTTTCTTGATCTTCTCAAAATGTATCATTTCAGTTTATATCTTTGGTTATGCATTAAATATGAGTGAAATTCATGGGTTCCCATGTACATTATGAATCAGATTCTAAACTCAGGAGGAAAGAGAAACAATTAAAACTTCATTAGAAGCAGAATAAATGTGCAAAAACTCTTAAAATACCAAAAATGTTAAAGGAAAAAAAGTGCTTGCCATAGTAGAAAAACAAATTGGCCACATTGAATTGTTCCTTCCTTCATGGTGATGAGATGTGTGGGCCTGTGCCTCTCCCTCAGTGACCACATGCGGGTTTCCCCTGCACACTAAGAACCACGTGTCCCAGGGAGCAAATGTGTCCTCGTTCCCGCCTCAGCCCTTCCCAGACTCAGGAAGGCCCTGCCAGCCTCTGAGTTCCTATACACTTTCTCCTGTTCCACTCGCTTTCTTCTGCATCTATCTTGGCTCCACAGCTAGATTTCAGGTTTTCTTCCAGTAAATTGGCAGATACTCATCATCGGTTGGTGGGTGGTAAGTACCTGCACCCAGCCATCCAGGGGAGGTCTCCCTGGGTTCACGTGTCAGTGGCTCCTCTCTCTCTGTCCCCTACTTGGGTAACGAACATGAAAGCAATTACGTGTAGGTCCTCTGAACACTCCGTCACTAACAGGGAATGCCTTGGACTTCCATTTCATTGCAGCAACACCACTACAGAACTTTTGCAATAGAAACCAGGAAATATACCTTCCACATGGGCTTTGAGGCTGACTGTAACATTCTGGGAAACCCCAGAAACATGGGCCACTTCTTCACCAGCCAGGGAGAAGGTAACTATGGAAGCCAGAGAAGTACTTCACGGCTGGGACAATAGAGAGGATTTGCAAACAAGCTCACTAGGAGTTCAGTTACTAAATGGATCCGAACCTAAGTAGTCCCTAAGAGGGCTACTGACATGAGAGAATTCTTCTCCTAGCTCCTTCTAAATGCCTGTCTGCAAGCTTCTCTTATTGTTAACATCTCCTCTTCCCTGAAAGAAAACCACCCATCATCAAGAATCCTGGCTCAAAGCTTGTTGTCAGCTTTCAGGGCCTGTAATCCACCAGGATGAGGATTTCCAGGGACCCCAGGATCATTCAAAGCTTTTCTTTCCAGTCCCAGGGTGAGATTTTGTTATGCTCATCCTGCAGAATGGTTTGAGTCTGGTTGACCCTAAGACTACGAACATGACAATGGAAATTACCGCAAGTCCCTCTGAGAAAACAACCTCCCCATTTTACCTCTCTCAAACAAATCTCTATCTGACCCCACCAGCCCCAAGGTCACACAACCATTTGTTGGCAGGGTCCTCATCCCAATGTTCTTCCCGTGATTAATAAAGAGGAAAGTAAGGGGATGAAACTGATCCACTGGACACTCTAACAGTGCCCCTGGAAGTCACCTCACCCCCTGACAGCTGCTCATTTGAAATACAGCTTCTGACTCTAAACCAGTATTTCTTTTGGGCAGCCCTAATCACTCAGACTCAATTAATCCTTAATTTATTCTCTTACTCTCCTTTGTTCATTTGCTCTAGTGACTGTAACTTCCCTCTCTCTAATTGCCTTCTCCGGGTGTCCCCTCCCACTGGACCTGGGAGCCACTGCGGCCTCCCAAAGCAGCAATCATCACCTGGCCTCTCTCACCCTACACACCTCCGGTGTCCTCATCTCAGAATTTCACCCACCAACACTCCTACTCTTCTGCTTCCAGAAGAGATCTTACCTCTATTCTTCCACCCCCACTATCTTTGCCTACTTCCTTCATAGCAGGTTCCTTCTTTCTGCATTTGGACGCATTCAAGTGATGTTCACATTAAACTTGTGGGCAGGAGGATCCTTTCTCTTGTCCCGATCTTCTCCTTGCCACAAGATTTCTCTCAAGTCTGTCCTTGTAGTTAACAGTGCACCAAGCATCATGGGAAACCGATGCCCAACACGGTCCCAACTCACCCACAGAGCATCAGGGTCAGAGCATTCTCTGACCATTGCTTGAGTTTCCCAATCAGTTCCATACATTTTATTAATTATTAGTGATAAATGGTCGGAGAAAGGTAAAATCGGAATTGGTTAGAGTGATCCAAGAAAACTCTGTGTAGGATGAAAAGCATAAGCAAGGTATCAAGGGGCAGATCATAAAAGGCCAAGTAGAGAAATTAGACAGGATATGCAAGGATGTGAGCTGAGGCTGGGAGATGGACACGAGGGTTTCAGGAGGACTAAAATGGCAGGCGGATTCTAGGTGGGTTGCCGATTTGTTGCAGGAGGAAGGATGACGAAGGTTGAAATGAGTACTGGGATCAGAACAAGAAGCTAACGGAGTATGAAACACATCGAAATCTGAGTTGGATTGCAAAGAGAAACACGATGGGCTATGATGACAAATTAGATGCAGAAGAGAAGAAAGAGAACTAGACAAATGCATTGAGCCACTCCCATGAGCCAGGCACTGTTGTTCTAAGTCCGTAAAGCTAGGTGCTGGTGGATTCCGGCCTCAGACTCAGGTCTTCTGAAGGTTAGGATCACACTGGAGCCACAGCCACAAACGGCAGTGCCACTGATCAGCAGAGACACTAGGAAGGAAAGTCGCTTAGGGAACCGAACAGGCAATGATGTCAAGCTGGTGTTTCTGGGGTCCGAGAGGCAAGAGGGAAGTCTAAACAGAGGCTTGAAGTGAAGGCCCAGGGCTGTCGAATCTACGGTGGGTTTCTCCTACAAAAAAGAGTCGCTTTGGGAACATTCCTTTCATCTCTCTGGCTCTCAGAGCTGGATGAAGTCATTGTTAAGTCTTTTCAGACTCTGTTATTCAAGAGATCCCAGATTTTGTGACATAGATAAGCTCATGAAGGCAGAAGAG
Source organism: Homo sapiens (assembly GCF_000001405.40). Classification (NCBI taxonomy): domain Eukaryota; kingdom Metazoa; phylum Chordata; class Mammalia; order Primates; family Hominidae; genus Homo; species Homo sapiens. The sequence continues at coordinate 237,047,841 of NC_000001.11, read as the reverse complement.
CCAGAACAGGAAATAGGACAGAATCTTTTGGGATAACCACACACTTGGAGTAAAAGGAATGAAAAGCACCTGGAAAAAGCATGATCAGAAATGTAAAAAATTACCCAGAAGGTACCATGTCCCCAAAGTCAAAAGAGTAGCTTCAAAAAGGAAAGTCAGGGTAGTAGAGCTTGAGAAGGAATCTAAGGGAATAGGGACAGAGAGGGACATTTAGACGTGGCAAGGAGGGAGTTACTGGCAACATCCTGGAAAGTAAATTGAAGAAGGAAGAGAAGCTAGATAATTACATGGAGAGGGGTACAAGCAGTGGGAGAAGACCACTTCTGCAGGAGGGGAGCAACCAAATAAGGTATCCGGGTCAAAGACAGACATTTTAAGATGGGAGAAATTAACAGGCTTCAAGATAAACCAGAAGGAGTAAGTGGATAGGGAGGCAAAAAAAAAAAAAAAAAGGCTAGAAAGGATGGATTCCAATCTTGGCTTCCAGGACCAAGATTCAGGCCATGTGAGGGACTGTAACATTAGAAAAGACAAAAGAAACCTCCTTTTCACTGGCTGGAAGGACAAGAGGACAGATTTGGAGACAGAACTCTATGAAGGTCAAGTTAAGGATAAAATGGAAAAGTGGGTTTAAATCTACTCTATAAAGAATGATGTGCTGGTAAACCTCCTTTCTGGAAATTCTTCACAGATTTTCATATACTCTCCATTACTAAATGCCACTAACTTGGAGTGTGACACTGGGCCAAGTCATTTGGCTTTCTGAGCTTTTGTTTCCTTATCTGCAATATCAGAGAGGCATGGGGTGGACAGGGTAATGTTTTCTAAAGGCCTCTTCCTACCCTAATGTTTTGGAGTTTGTTTATGCATTTTTCCTTCTGATTGCTCCATGCCATCCTCTATATCTATTCTTTGCAATTACAGCTGCAAACCACTTCCCTACTTATTTGGAATACTTCCTTAACATGCTATGCATACAGACGGTGTTCAACAAATGTTTTCTGAATTAATCTAATTCCCACAATGTCAGAGTTTCAGGAAAAATGTGTGCTTCATCACCTCTCCCTCTCTCCCGAAAGCTATCTAAAGAAGCACAGTCACCCAGTGCTGCTGGAGTCCTTTCTTGGGTAATTCAGCCGTGATAAAAACACTTATCTGAAGCCAAAGTACAAATACAATTGAATGTCAAATAAATTAGTGCCCTAAGCGTTTTAGATCTTGCCCTTCCTGCCAATGTGTACATGCTAATTTCTAAGTTAAAATAAAATAAGTCTGATGATGTAAGCCTGGGTGGGCTTTCCATCAGTTCCTTGGGAAAATACCATAGTGCATATCTATCTAAAGCTCCTCGTAGCTTCATTATGAAGGGAGCAAAAAGTGCGAATTTCCACTGCTCATTCCATCTTTTCCTTTGTACTCTGTGACATTCCTACAGCTGAGAAAACTGACTTGGTATTCTTTTGCTATAAACCTAAAACATACTTGAACAGCAGATAAAGAAGCCTTTCTCTCCTGGAAAGAACACTATTAGCCTAAGATTTGAATTTTAGTCCTCGTTCTGCACTGCTGAGTACTGACTTCATACCATTAACCTTCCTGGACCTCTACAAACTAGGGCTAAGTATTCCCATCCAAACTACTATGCAGTGTTGTACACCAGCATCTATACTGCATAATTGTCACCATTTGTAGATGAGTATATTTAAAGATGCTTCTTGTCATTGTGGAACAAGATGTATGAACACTGAGAAGAAATCTATAATGAAATACTTCATTCTGCAAAAGAAGACAGGAGGAAGACCGTAAGCATTCCTATCAGGATCATTCTTACAGCCAGGACTAAGCTTTAAGTCTCAATCTATGGGTAAATACAAAACTACATGACACAGTACACCACAAGGGTAACTCAACTGTGCTTAGACAAATGAAAGAAAGACAAAGTACTCAAAAAAAAAAAAAAAAAAAAAAAAAACCTTGACCAAGGTCATTTTATACCATGGTTTTCCTAAAGTCAGAGGAATATCTTCTATAACATTCTGTATGATTGTTGGAAAAAAAAAAAAAAAGAGGACCATAACGAAAAAGATGCGTGTTTTTAAATGCCAAATGACAGTTTGATGCTACATTGGTAAGTTAATAAAATCTTTAAAATAAAACACACATTCCAAATCATGGATATGTTTGGATATGACAGTGAATGAATCCATTACAAGCTGACAGCTTATTTTATGATAGGATTTTTCTCTCATAAAATAAGTGTCCCAGCATATCCAGAGTTTACAAAAACATATTTTCAATCTCTCTCAAAGATAAACAGACCCAAGTGGGCAGGTTTCCAACAGATGGGGGAGCCACTGAATCAATGATCATTCATCTACATAACTATTTGGAAGGAATGTGAGCCAACTCGACAAGCAGCAGCAAATGGAACAGAGATGCCAGAGAGACAGGTACAAGCTAAACAGTGACAAACCCCTTTGCAAATGAGGAATTAATTTACAGCAGCATACATAACTCACAGATACAGCCCATTAAAGATTTCACCTCTACTTCCCTTAACAGTGATCTCACACCTCTTCTAAAAAAAGAAAAGCAAAAAAGCTTTCTGTGGACAGTGGTCAAAAAGATGCCTCAATGTGCTGGGGTGCTGAATACAAATCCAATAGACAATGACCTGCTCAAGATAATAATCCAGATGTTCTAATCAGGACATATGAAATGTCCCATCAAATTCACAATTACGGTGTCTTAATGACTGTTTTTGTTTTTCTATGCAAAACAGCTTCATCCATCACTATCAAGAATTCTTCCATCTACAACTGTTTTATCAAGATGTACAGATTCCTAATACTCCTTGGGCTATTTGCTTTAAAAAAAAAAAAAAAGAAGAAGAAGAAGAAATAACTCATATTGACAAGCTTGCACATGACAGAGAAATAAATGCCCTCAGAAAAAAAAGAAGCGACTTCAATGTGGGAACTATACTACAGTCTCCCCATTATTCACCCCATCAGCATTTCTGAACCACCAACATTCTCAGGTTAAGAGAAAAAAAAGGGGGGTGGGGGAGGGAAGGATGGAGGGTAATGGGTGGAGAAGCCGGTAAAGGATTTGAGAATTTCCATATGAAAATTGGAAAATTGTGAGGAAAGGCATGTTTTCCTTTTAGATGTTAATGCTATACCAAAAAAAAAAAAATCCCCCTGCTCCACTGTGTCACCTCCTTCAAGGTCATTTGTCGTCAGCACAGCAACCTACGGATGTTTTATTAAAAGAAAAATCCCAGCCTGGGACTGCCAGATCTCTACCCAGGACCCACTTATCAAAGGTGCTGCTCTAGCTGACAGGCAGCTGCTGAGTGGCACAGAGTTGACATTACTTGATATGTGCAGAACCTCATCAGCCAGCACGTTCCCTCGGTCCCCATTAAGCATTCTGATAACACCACCTCCATGAGCTCGGCTTAACAGTTAAGCCCGCAGGAAGCCCTTGAGTGCATGAAGCCTACCAAAATGTCCCAGCTAGTTTTAACCCCACAGAGTTTGATACGAATTGATTGAAAAATTATACAGCAACCGTATTTGTCCACCTGAATAAAATAGTCCTTAGTTTTGAGAAAAATCTAATGTGGTGTTAATTACTTAAAAAAAAAAAAACCCTTATAGTCTATTTTCTATGAAAAAGACAACTGTATTACTAGCAGGTTTATACACCGTGACCAAGGTATTAGTGAAGAGGCTCTTCCAAGCCCGGTCTTGGGCCAACAGTACTTCAAAAAGCATATGCAATGGTGCATAACCTGCAGCTATTAGACTGGATTACTATTAGGTTGTCATCTGATGTGGACCCTGGGTTTTTATCCTTCCCAAAGCTTTCTCCCAGTCCGTTTAATGCACAAAAGAGAAAGAGACAGTCGTTTACAACGTTCCTTTGCAAATTCGCTGTTTTCATATGTTTAGTACCCAAATACATCAAGACTATTTTCACACCTAAAAGTTAATATTCCAAAATTCCACCGTATCTACGATTTTCTGTGATTATAGGTAACTGTAACCGGGAAGTGGTTTTGTTTGTTTGTTTGTTTTGTTTTGTTTTGTTTTTGTACTGCTGAGGAAAGAAGTACCAGCAGAAGCTGCAGTTCTAGGTTGGGGAAGTCTGGGGAATCCTGCAAGGGAACATCCTTCGGGAAGGAGGACAGAAGTGGAGAAGGAACGACTGAAAGGATGCTAACTAGGTTATTATTAGCAGGAAGTTAGGGCATTTTCTTTTCTGGAGAGGCTCTCCAGTCCCAGCTTGGAGGTGTGCAATGCCTCAGCCTGGGAAGTATCTGCAGTGTTCGAACAAATGAGAGAAAGGAAGGAGCAGTGCCAAGAGGTACTTAAGGAGAAAGAATTGTATTAGTGTGGAGCCAACCTTTCCCGGGCAGCCACCCTGCCCTTACACTTACACACACACACTTTGCTTCACTTGGCATGCAATAAGCCAGCATTTAGAGAACGACACGTTCACGATGTTCTCCCCACCACCACCCGCGCGCGCGCACACACGCAAACACACGCTCGCTTCCCATGCCTTCCACGCTTTGCAAGCGGTCACAGCACCACCACGGATGGCACCAGCCCCGGGAACCGCGGGGACCACGGAGGCGACTCCTCCTCCGCTTTCGCAGCACCTTGACTTGGGGGAAACCTCCGCGCAGCGTCCTGCACCATCACCCCCGCCCCCGGTCAGCTGCGCCGCACGCTACACGGAGTAAGCGAACCAACGTCTTCGCTCCGTGACAACGCGCGGGTCCAGCCCGAAAGCCCAAGAAACCTCCCGGCGGCGGTATTCCCAGAAACAGCCCGAGTTCCCGCCGCTCCCCGCGCCCCCACGGGCCACCCTGCTCTGCACCCTGCCCCCGGCCGCCCGGGAGGTCCCAGCCGTGCCACCAGGCAGGCCGGACCGGCCGTCCCCTCCTCTCCCGGTTCCCGCAGCTCCGACGCTCCTGTCCCCGGTGCCCCGGGTCCGAGCCCGGGCGCCTGCCGCCGGCTAGCCGCGCTCCATCCTCTAGCTTTCCACACGCGCGCACAGACACGCGCCCTTGCCTTCCCTCGCCCCAACACGCACACCTGCACACACTTGGTGATGCCCGCTCCTCCCGCATCCTCAGGGGGCACCCCCTCGCCCCGCCCGCGAGTCCCCGCTGCCCGCTGTCACTCTGCCCGGACCCCGCTAGTGGATGCCCTGACGCCCCCTTCCCCTGACAGCACACGCGACGCACGGCGCTTACAGTTCGCAGGAACTGGATCTCGTCTTCGCCCTCGCCCCCATCGGCCATGGTTCCGCGCCTCCTCGCCGGGGCCGGCTCCCGAGCCCCGCGGAGCTCGGCGGCGGCGGCGGCCCCTGGCGCTGCCTTCTGCTTCTGCTGCCGGGAGCCGGGGGCTGGAGGGGGCCGCGCTGCCGGGTGCCGAGCGCCGGGCGGTCCCCGCCTGCAGAGCGGAGGAGGAGGCGCGGACGCTCGGGCGCGGGTGGTCGAGGCGCGGGGCCTCCCTGCTCCGCACTGTGCGGGAGGAGGGCGGCCCGGGCCCGGAGGACGCGGGGAAGCAGCCCCGCAGCCCAGCCGCGCTCGCTGCCTGCAGCCGGCGGTCCGCTCGGCCCCGGCTCCTCCGAGCAAGTGCGCGGAGCCAGCTGAGCCGGGGTTAGTGCAGCGGTGGGGGTGGGGTGTGGGGGCGGGCGGGGAGGAGCTCGGCGGCTCCCCGCTGCTGCAGGTAATCCGCAGCCCGCTCCTCCGGGCCGCCAAACCCGAGGCCCAGCGCCACTTACTGGCTGCGCTGGGAATCGGGGCCGGAGCGCACCCGGCGAGCGCACAGCCTCCTACCTGCGCCCCGCTGGGGTCCCTGGGCTCATTCCCCTGCCCCTTCCGAGCTTAAAACCGCCGGCACGACGCCCCTTCCTCCTGGACTGGGCTAGGGCACTAACTTCCACGGCACTTCGGATCGCACGGAAGAATGATATCTTTCACCTGGGCGCACGGGGTGGCTAATCTCCAAGTAGAGATTACGCAACACCTGGTATTTTAAACGTGGATTACCTCTATTCATGATCAAATGGGAATTCTTCAAGATCTAGTTTTAGTGTACCATGCTTTTCGCAGATAATCGATGCAAAGTGCACGGTTTTGGTGCACAGAACTTTAACATTCAACAAATATACAGTGAGCGCCTATGCCAGACAATGTGGTACAAGACAGACCCAGAAGTGTGTAGTCTGTATTCGAAGTGCAAGCCTTAATTCAACAAGGAATTGCGGTAAAGTATGGGATACTATCTATAAGTCTGAACCACTGGATGGGTCTAAAGTCAGACTGTGCTACCCATTATCCTTGCTGAGAGAAGAAATTCGAGCATTCCACCGCAGATAGTAATATCTTGCTCTCGCAATCCTCCATGCAATAGTCTACCAAATGCCTACTTAACAAACGGCTATGACTAAGAAAATACAGGGTCTGAGACAATTTGGACAAGAAAGCAATTTGTCTCTTGTTCCTAGTCCACAGCGCTTTCATTTATCGTACTTAAAATAAGTATGTGCAAAGTAAAGTTTTCAAATGTCAGTACTACGGAGATGCAGACATTGTAAAACAAGGATTTTTGCGTCCGTTTACCTACATCTTACATTCTGCGGCATCTAACTCATTATTAAAATCGACCACTGAGTTCTATACAGTTTATATTTTATTTTTAGCATTCATTAACTTTGTACTTACTGGGGTAGGTTTGTAAATTTCCAGGAGAATGACAATATGTGTATAAATACTCGCTGTCCGTGGTAGAACTAGTAATGTTCTGCCCTATCTCATGGAAGTATACCAGTCACCTTACCTAAAAACTTGACCTATCCCTGTAGCCATGACGACTAACCAACTCTTAAACCGTTATTATTTATGTGAATGTTTACTCTTACGAGTCTCTAAAGGAACAACCAGTGAGCTCCCAAAAAGTCGGGTAAGAGTCCTCCATGAGCAATGACTATATTCTGAAATTGGCTCCTGATTTAATGTTAAATGATTTGATCTTCCAAATTTAGAACGTATCAAATTGACGTTTTAAACTATTTTATTCAGAACTATGCAGAGACAGGTTTCTTAATTACTCCATTCTACCCAGATGGTAGGTAAAATAATATAAAAACGCTTACCACGTCTTCATTTTGGCATTTTAACTAGGCTGTAAACTGTTCTAGCAAGAGTTATGGTTATTATTTCTTTAGTTCTCTCAATGTAAGTGGAATAATGCTAAAAGGCCTAGACACTCGATGTTTCTTATTCACCCCATACAGTCTTCAACAGCAAGTAGACATAGAGCAGAGACTATTTATAAAACACACCGTGTATGTGGACTTTAAAACACAAAAATACAAAACTATGAGGTTTATAGATCTCTAGTCTGTTCTAAAAGTATAAAAATATGTTTGAGAATGATATACAACATTTATTTTTAAAAAGAAAACCAAAGCAAATATAACAAGTGTTTTAATACTGGTGATGGGCATATTGGTGGAATATTATTTTTGGTACTCTGATATTCTGTTATATTTCATAATTACATAACAAAATAATTTTTACAAGAAAGCAACTTCAGTGAAAGCTATGGAAACTTTTTACTTATAGCTTTTTTAAAAAAAATTTAACCCTTTTGGATAATTTAGTTATAATTCCCTAGTTTCTTCTTCTGGTGGACAATTGTAGTAAGAATTCCAGTGCAGAGATCATAGGATACTAACTAACCTCAATTTTAAGTGTACTTGAGAAAAAATACATAAAATTTGGATACAGCTTAAAGTTTATGTTTACTGTATTTAATTCTTATTGTAGACTCAGACTAAAAGAAATTAACAAGTAGACCTTTTTCTAGGCACAAAACTATAGTTCATTAAATAGAAAAAAATTATTTACAATTTTCATTAGAAAATAGTATTTGATATCTATATATTTTGTAATTTTTATTAAAATATTTATTGGCTGGGCATAATGGCTCACACTTGTTATCCCAGTGCTTTGAGAGGCCAAAACAGGAGGATTGCTTGAAGCCAGGAGTTCAAAACGAGCCTGGGCAATGGAGACCTCATCTCTACCAAAAAAAAAAAAAATTTTAATTAGCTAGGCATGGTGGCACAAACCTGTAGTTCTAGCTACTGGGAGGTTGAGGTAGGAGGATTGCTTGAGCCCAGGAGTTTGAGGCTGCAGTGAGCTATGATCAAGCCACTACCCTAGTAACAGAGCAAGACCTGATCTCAAAAAAAAAAAAAAATTCTCTTTTTCTAAATTCGTGTTATGTATAATAGCTTATTTTGCTTTTTATTATCTTAATATTGCTTTATTATAATATAATCTTTATATTCAATAGATACTACATTTTAAATCTTTATTAATCATAAAATTATTAATAAAAAGTTTAGAGGATGACATTTCTATGTTTCTTAGTCCAAATTTGGGAAGTATTCTTCTTTATGACTAATTTTATATTCTGCAAGAGAGGGAAAAATTATATTTTTGCTTTTTTAATTAAGAGTTTTTCTGCAGTCATCTAATTAAGAATGGGCCATCGTAGCCCACTTATTCACTTGGCAGGATGCTAGACAGCCTTAAAGAAGAAAAAAATTAGGACAAATGTAAGCTTTTTCATTTTGACTTACAATTTACTAAGCTCCCCAATGATGTACATGAGCTTAAAAAATTAACTTCTTCCTCAAGGTTTCTACGGAAACTCAGCAAAATACTCAATGTTATCATTTTAATTCAGCTCCTTTCAATTAAGATTACATACATTAAAGGCTTTATTACTGACTTGAAAGCCTCTGGAATTGTCATCGAATCATTATAAAATTAGGATTAGAGAGCCTCTAACGTCCTGAGATTTAGCCCATTTCTTGTTAACTCAGATTTCCTGTTTCAAAATCTCTAAGGAACATTTCATACCTATCTTCTTATCCCACTTCAGAACTCAACAGACCAACATTTTACAAAATTTCCATTTTATTTACATCCTTATTGCATGTGTTCTAAAATACTATAATTCTTATGAGCACCTGTCCTAGAAATAAATCCCTGGGAAATTCACCACAAGCCAGTCCTCAGGTCACATGGCCTGAATCTCTGCATTAATGCAAGATGGCCAGAAATTACATTACGAATGATGACGATGGTGATGAAACTTCATTTATTGAGCATTTACTATGCTCCGAGCACTTGCATTTTATTTTTTCTTTTCGTCTTCGCAGCAATATCATTTTTGAAAAACAGGAAAGAAGACTTAAAGAAGTTAAGTAGCTTGGCCAAGAGTATGCAGCTGCTGAGTTTTGACACAGGGGTCCGAGGACTTATACTCCTCCCCTACCTCCATCCCAAAGCGGAAAGCACAAAAAAGAGTCTAGACTAGCATGAACTATAAAAGGCTCTGGCAGCCCCGGGAGATCTGTCCCTGGTTTCAGGCCAAAGCAGGTCCTGCTAGCTCTTGGAATGCCAAGTAAGTTCTGGAAAGAGACAGAGATTACTATGTGTTCAGAAATAATATCCAATTTGTGCCTTTCTCCGCAGTTTGGATTCTTAGGGTAAATCAGTTTTTCAAGACTTGAAGGTTATTCACCACTATCGTATTAGTTCCTTTCCAAATTATGAAGCCCCAAACTACAATTAGTATTCTGATTTCCAGGGTCAGGACTGAACTACATGCAGATAGAAAAAGTACACATGATCTACCTCTTGGCATCGGAGGAGCCCTGGACATCACAGAGAAGGATGTCCCCACCCGACGAAAAGTTTGCTTATTACTGTAGTCCCCTCTTACCCACAGCTTTGCTTTCTGCAGTTCCAGTTACTCAAAGTTCCAAAATTTAAAATGGAAAATTCTAGAAATAAACAATTCCTACATTTTTAATTGTGTGCCAGTTTGAGTAGCGTGATGAAACCTTGTACCATCTCACTCTGTCCCATTCGGGACATGAATCATCCCTTTGTCCAGCGCATCCACTCTTCTGTACTCCCCACCGTTAGCCAGTAGCTGTTTCAATAATCAAATCGACTATCGCGGTATCATGGTGCCTGTGTTCATGTATCCCTTATTTTACTTCATAATGACTCCAAAGTGCATGAGTAGTGATGCTGGCATATTGTTATTATTGTTCTATTTTATTACTAGTTATCATCGTTCATCTCTTACTGTGCCTCTTATAAACTAAACTTAAACCTAGGTTTGTATGTATAGGGGAAAAACACAGCATACATAGGGTTCAGTCCTATCCATGGTTTTGAGCGTCCCCTGGGGTCTTGGAATGTATCCCCTACAGATCAGGAGGTATGGGTTCCTAAGGAAATGTGGGTTCCCCAGCCTCATTTCCAACTCAAATTGCCTAGTGGCTTCCCAAGTAGGTCATTCTGACTGTCACGTGTCTCTGAAGGCAGATCTTCCTCCTGATTTGCCTATTTCTGTTGTACTACAGCTCGAATCCAAACTCTGATCACCATTTTTGATTCCTCTCTCACCTTTCCCACTGAACATCAGTGTCTTTTTATAAGTAAAAGGCATTTTCCTGATTCTTGTCTTTATATCCCAGAGTAATTTCACTAACATCATCACTAATCTTCCTGTTTCTTATGCTTTTCCAGTGCAAATCATCTTCCTGACTCCCACCAGCACCACCCCCTATAATAATGTTTTCATCTTGTCACTTCCTTGCCCAATAAGAACTAGAACCATTGAAAGGTGGCCCCCAGATGCCTCCAGGTTATGTTCAAACCCCTCAGCTTGGCTTTGGAGACTCCCCACGATATAGCCTTAAACATACCTTTTCAATATTTCTTTCCTAGTATTCCCATTTTGCCTCCCAACCAGACTACTGTTCTGCAGATTAAAAAGCTACTCAGCCGTGCCTCTTCTTTTGCTATTTCTTTAGCCATCCAGGGCCACAAAATCCTGCTGAAATCCACTCCATGCTTCAAGGACTAGTTCAAAGCCCCCTTCTGGGCTTTGATTACTCTGGCCAGAGATTGTATCTCCCTCCTGTGAACCACAGCCCTTGATCCTGTATTGCCCAGGCCTGTAGGTGTATGTTTAAGGGTAATGTCCCTCAAATGCAATAACTACTGCATAGAGGCAGAGAAAATGTGTCTACTTTTTTATTATACTTCTTTTCTTTATGGGTAATAATTAAGATCCTTTCTGTTGATGGTCATGAACTGCTTGTTTACCATTTTGTAGATACCTTTCTACTTTCACTTTCCTTTTAAGAAAATTCCATTTTGAAACACCTTTCTTCTTTTTATCCCTTCCTCTATGTGGAGTTCATTCTTTAACTGCAGGGTGCTAACCACTTTGCTGTGTTCAGTAACACAAAAGTAACCTCCAAACGCTTGTGTCCATAGAGTTTGTCCCAGCATGAGACCCATCTCTAATGTCTTCTAGGTATTCACAGAACAACAGGACATGAGCAGGTTCTTTGAACCCTTTATTCGTTCGTTCATTCGACAAACGTTTATTGCGTGTGTCCCAGGCTTTGTCCTAGCAAATAAAGCACTGGCCCTATCTTCATGGGGCTTTTATTCTAGGGGAGGAGCTAGATACCAACAAGTAAATGTATATGTCAGGTGCATTGAGTGCTATCAAAAAATACAAAGCAGAAGCCAGGAGGAGTAGCTCGGGCCTGTAGCCCCAGCTACTTGGGAGGCAGAGGTGGAGGTGGTAGGATTGCTTGAGTTCAAGTCCAGCCTGGGCAACATAGTAAGACCCTGTCAAGAAAGAAAAGAAAAGAAAAGAGAGAGAAAGAGAGAGAGAAGGAAGGAAGGAAAGAGGGAAGGAAGGAAGGAAGGAAGGAAGGAAGGAAGGAAGGAAGGAAGGAAAGAGGGAAGGAAGGAAGGAAGGAAAGAGGGAAGGAAGGAAGGAAGGAGCAAGCAGGATAAAGGTTAACAGAGGGGCCAGTTTTGTAGAGAAAATGGTCAGGGAAGACATCCCTGATGAAGTCACATGGCAACAGTAGCTTGAATCAAGCCAGGGAATGAGCCTTGTGGCTATCTAAGGGAAGAGCACTCCACGCAGAGGGATTGGTATGTGCGAAGGCTTGGAGTTGAGAGTGTACATGGCATGTGTGAACGATTACGAGGAGGGCAGGGAAGGGCAGTGCAGTGGTGCACTATGGGCAGAGCGAAGGAGGGAGCAGGAGGGTGCTGGATGATGAGGCCAGGGAGACAGCAAACACAATACATACCCTGCCCATTCCGAATGGGAACATTCATTGCTTTTTTTCAGGAAAAAGAGTTTAGTGTGCTCAGTCTGGTTTAAACTAGGCCACCTGGCTACCCATTTTAACACCTAACCTGAATCTCCATGCTCTCTATACATTTCTAATTCCTGGATACTAGAAATCTACCATCTGAGTAGAAATTCTCCTTACCTGTTGAAGTTTGCTAAGAGGTCCAACTTGGTGGATTATATTTATTTATTGCAATATTAAGACACCCTACATTTTACCAGCCTTGTTATTGACTTGAGAGATGGCTTAAACAAATGGACTTACGTTCACCTGCTCCCAGGAATCAGGACAAGGTAGTGGCCATAAGGATGGGCTTTCAAGCCAGACTCAGTCCTCATCCCTTCTTTGCCACTCACTAGCAAGTTACTTAACTGTCTAAACCTCTGTTTTTCTGTGTATATGATGAGGATAATAAGAGTACCTCATAAGATTGCTGTTGATATTAAATGAGATAATGAATATAACTTGCAGAATGTAATGCCTAGAATATGGACACACTCACTAAAATGTACATGCATGTATGTGCATGTATTTATGTAGTTGTTTGTGGCTCCTGTTAAAGAACTGAAATTATTTATATTATCAGAAATAAAATCAATCAGATGGTATGTTCAGTGCAACAACTTTAAAAATATAGATTTTTCTAATTTTTCCATCATTATTATTATTATCAATATTAAAAGAGTTCTTTGATAAGTTCTCATCTAGTACACAAACACACTCACTTTCTCATAAATATTCCACTACCTTTTAGAATTTTTTTAGTTACAAGTAATAGAACCCCCCCCAAAATATAAACAGGGGCTTAAACAACAGAGGAGATCATTTCTCTCATGTAACTTTAAGTCTAAAACTAGGCAGTCCAAAACTGTTACCATGGCTCCATGATGTCATCAGTGTGCCAACCTCCTGTCTTTCAGTCCATCATCCTTAGTTCATGGAGTCAAGTCTCACTGTTGCAAAATGGCTGCTGCTGCTGCAGCCATTGGATTCAAATTTCAGATGGGAGCAAGGCGTGTATGGTGGGGCAAAGGGAGCATGTCATATGGCGAATCCACCAGTTGAACAGCTTTCCTGGAAATTCCACCAGTAATTTTCACTTCTATCTCATTGGCCAGAATTTAGTCACCTATCTTTATAAGACAGGCAATGGAAATATAGGTTTTAGCTGGCTGCATTGCCACCCTCAACAAAATTAGGGCTCTCTTGGCAAGAAAAAAAACAAGGAAGGTGAACATTGAATAGGCAACCAGCAGATTTGGCCTCAACTTTCTTATAATTGTCTTTTCATATGACACATGTACATAATATGTTATGATTTTATGGTTAAGAGGATAATCTCACAAACCGTGGAGAATCCCTTAAGAAAGAGATACATTTTGTGTCATCAAATGAGGTTTCATGTTCATAATCTCCAAATGGAAATACTTTAGGTATTCCTCAAACATCTAAAAAATTTAATTACATAATTTACTAAAATAGCCTCTTCTGTTTTCATGTTCCAGTTTAATCAAATGTTCCTGTCGGAGTGTGAGGCTGCAGTGAGCTATGATCATGCCACTGTGCTCTGGCCTGGGCAACAGAGCAAGAACCTATCTCTAAAAAAACTTCCTAACACACACGTTTGATGTCTTTTGTATATAATATATCGGAGTGGGGTTTAGGGGGTTTTTTGTGTTTTGGGGTTTTTTACTAACAGATCCTACCATATTCTAGCTTCATCTTGATTTAGCTATATTCGTCTGGGGTACAGGTGGCACAGGAGAAAAGAGGAGGTTACATACAGAGCTAAGACTGTGATGCTTTTGGAAGGTTATAAAATCCAGGAGAATGTTGACACCAACTTCTACAGTTCTTAGTTGGATTTAAACCAAGTAACGGTGTATGATACAAACAGAATTATCTTTTTGAATTTGTCATTGGATGTCGTGATCACAGTGAAATTTCTAAAGGTGAAGGACTAAGGAATGTGAATTAGAGAAAAGGAGCTCTAAACCTCAAGATTGACATGATCTTTCAGCCTCTATGCTGTGATATTTGGCAGAATTCTGTGCTTACACTTCAGGTGGCAGGTGTACTGAGCCACCAATGGGTGCTTGGTTCAGCCATGAAGGTTGAGGTTGCCCAAACCAACATCCTCTCCTTAATATATGCTGTGCACTAATGAGAGCTGAAGGCAGATGTGCAGGGTGGACCTACCCTAAAGCCCCACTCAGAGGGTTTTCAACTGATGCTCTTGAGCCAATCCACTCATTCATTCAGCATTATTTCCGCCTGGTTCTGTGCTCGCTTCCTGGAGTGCAGAGTGAACAAGGCAGTGCCTGCTTCCTGGAGCTTATAGTGTGCACAGTGCAGACAGGTGAGTGCTGTGACAGGTACATAAGATGGGGTGGTGAGGGGACAGGCTGGTGAAGGCCGTAAGGGAAATGCTCCTTGGAGCAAGTGACTTGTAAGCTGAATGGTAAGAAGGCACCATCCAGATCTGAGGCGGGATAGGCCAGGAAGACCAGTGGCCCTCATGATTACAGGGAGTAAGAAGGACCAAGGTCGAGGGAGAGAGCTCAGAGATGAACCCAAGAAGCAAAGAAATGGTGGCACCATCCCAGGAATCTGCACTTGATCTGAGATGGGCCAAGGCATTACATAAAATCTCATCACTGATTTATTTTTAAGTTTTATATTGTACTTAGGGGAATCAGGAATTTAGCAGACGTTCTGAATTCCCTGAAGTCTCATCTTGCCTCAATTGTGAAATCTCAGGGTCTATGGAAATATTTTTCCTGGGCTACACTAGTGGGTTATCTGGATTGGCAGTTGTCAACCTTTTCTTACTGTAGTTGATTAATGATTCGTTTGCTTAAATAAATAAATAAGCACACATTTTTGAGCACCTATTATGTACCAGGCACTGAGGTAGGTGCTAAAAATACAAATGTAACAGGATGGCACTTTCTCTTCTCAGCCTCAGCTAAGGCACCAAAAGGTCAAAAACAATAAAACAGGTAGCAAAGGCTCCCACATTCTAAAGAGAATAGTAGGACACCTATGTGGGGTTTGCAGAGAGGGTGCTGGAAACTGATTTTGAGGCTTACAGTAGAGGTAGAAGTGGCTGAGAGAGATGATTTCTTTGGAGAAAGTTGGAGCGCTGTCTTTATCCCTAACCCCACCCACCCCATCTCAGGGAGGAGACGCAGGGGGCACAAGAGGTGCATCCCCCACTCGCCTCAAGCCAGGAAGACAGGCTGCAAGGAGACTACACAGAAAGCTTGATATGGGTCCCCTGGAGATTTCTATCTGACTCATGCCTGAGAAATGCAAATAGTAAGTGGCTCTTTTGGGGGACCATACACAACCACAGCAGGAGCTAGCTGCCAGACACAGACTGCAGACGGAAGTATTTCCCTTAGACCGGTTATGGCATGCAACCTAGGATGTCTTAAAGGCGTCTTAAAGGTGCCTACCCAAGAAAGCTTCCTGCCAGGGGCTGGATAACCTCAGCACAAAGAGACTGAATGGAGGCGTGCTGAAGATGCAGAAGCCGGGGCTGGGGAGAGGTGAGGTGCGGGAGGCATCAGCACTTGTAGGGAGCTGAAGAGGAGAGGGGTGGGTCCCCTGAGCAACCCCTGAAAACATCACTCAGAGAAAGAATCACCTTCAAAGATCTTCCCAATGCTGGTAACTTAAGACCATTCCTGCTATGCTCTCAGCCTCACTCTCAGTGGCCACCTCCAGCTCTGGAAGGTGAAAGCAGCCTGGTTGGGGTGCGAGGAGGAGCGGCTCAAAGGAGGGAAATTAAAGGGAAGCTGACCTCATAGTCCATCCTTCAGTCTTAGGCTCCTCAGCCAGATGCTCCCAGTCTCTGGAAGGAGACACACTTTCTATTTGAAGCTTAAAGTCATGGTTGTGAAACTGGACTGAACATTCCAGCATGGAGTCAAGACTGCTCGTGACTAAAAGTGACAGGAATGTCCTCCAGGCAAAAAAACAAGCCTCTAAATGGTTGTAAAGGGACAGAGAGAGAAAAGAATACAGTTGCTTTCAGCATCCCTGTTGAACTCTGGTCTTTCAATGTAACGATTGCACAAAGGTGCGTAACACACACAAGGTTTGCCTTCAGGAACCACACAACGTCTGACTGAAAAAAGGTGCAAAGCGATGACAGCACAGCATGCTAAAAAGCAGGGCTGCAGTTGCAGGAACTCTGGGGAAAGAAGAAGGCTTCAACCCTTTGTTGATGTTGAGGTAGGGTTGCCAGGTAAAAGACAGGGCACCCAGATACATTTAAATTTCAGAGAAGCCACCAATAATTTCTTAGTGTAAGTATGTCCCTTGCGATACTTTTGTTTGTTCCTCTGGTAAGGCTTTGCTCAAGGCACAGAGGGCCCTGGAAACCCCTTTGTTGATCTGACCTCTCCTCCTTGTTGCTCTTTTTCTTCCTGGGCCTTGAGTTCTGCCGACACGCCTGGCCACCCGTGGGTGAATGGCGTACCCTCCATCATCTACTGGGTTTTATTTTTAATTTAATTTTTTCTTTTTTGAGACTGAGCCTTGCTCCATTGTCCCCACCCTGGAGTACAGTGACGCCATCTCAGCTCACTGCAACTTAAACCCGGGTTCAAGCAATTCTCCTGCCTCAGCCTCCTGAGTAGCTGGGATTACAGGTGCCCGCCACCATGCCTGGCTAATTTTTGTATTTTCCCTAGAGACTGGGTTTCGCCATGTTGACCAGGCTGGTCTTGAATTCCTGACCTCAAGCGATCCGCCCACCCCGGCCTCCCAAAGTGCTGGGATTACAGGGGTGAGCCACTGCCCCCCACCCATCTACTGTTTTTTATAACTGCCTCCAGAGAAATTGTGAGAATCCAAATAAGATCATCCAAATATCACCACTAGGCTGTGACTTCTAGTTTATCTCCAGCGTCCACCTCTCCCCCTAAGCTCTACAATTATATCCAACTATCTACGCAGCCCCTCCATGGGAATGCACAGCAGACAGCTCAAATAGGACGTTTCCCAGACAGAGCCCCCATCTCCCAAATCTCTTCCCCAAACCTCTTGTTCTTCAGTCTTCCCCGTCTCAGTGGATGGTGCCTCATTATCAAGCCAAAGACACAGGAATCATCTTTGGATTAACTGTCTTCCCTCACTCCCCACGTCTAATCCATCAGCAAGTCCTACTTCTAAATATATCTCAAATCTGGATGCTTCTAATTACGTCATTGCCAGTGCCCTAGTCCAAGGCCCCCTACCCTCTGCTCTGCTTCCAAAGCCTCTCTCTCCTGCCTCTGCCCGGTCTAGTCCCCCTATACCTCTTCTCTTTGTCCTTGAGTAGAATCCATGCCCTCAATCACACACCTAACAGGGACCTGCTTCTCTGTTCTTTCCCACCCCTCTCATTATCCCATACCCGCCCCCTTTATTCAATGCACTTTAACCGCACTGGCCAAGGCCACCCACTAAGCCCTCCTCTGTGGAGCACTCTCCCTGGGAAGGTCACATGACTGGTGCCTTGTCACTATTTGGATGCTGGCTGAAACATCCTGTCCAAGAGGCCTCCCTGACCACCGTCTCTTTTTTTTGTTTGTTTGTTTTTTTCTGAGACAGAGTTTCACTCTTGTCACCCAGGCTGGAGTGCAATGGCGCAATCTTGGCTCACTGCAACCTCCACCTCCGGGGTTCAAGCAATTCTCCTGACTCAGCCTTCCAAGTAGCTGGGATTACAGGTGCACTCCACCATGCCCAGCTAATTTTTTGTATTTTTAGTAGAGACGGTGTTTCACCATGTTGGTCATGCTGGTCTCAAACTCCTATCCTTAGGTGATCCACCCACCTCAGCCTCCCAAAGTGCTAGGATTACAAGCATGAGCCACCGCATCCAGACTCCTGACCACCATTTCTAAGGTATCAGCCTTCACTCATCACTTTCCCCCTCATTACCTTGCCTTATTTCCTTCTAAATTGGTCATCACTACCCAAAACTGTCTCATGTATTTGCTTGCTGAGCAGAAATCAAAATCCTTGGCAAAGTGAAGATAGTCTATTACCTCTCCTTCAATCCAGCTGACTACTCATTTTGTCAGAAGAGGAAGTTATAGTCTGACAGGATTTGTTCTTTACAAGGCCATCCTGTTTGCTGCCGTTCTTATGAAAATATTAATCAAATAGTTACACAATTATTTTCTTCCAGTCTCTTTCCTGATAGACAGGTTAGGCTTATCGGTCCAAAGACTTCTAGATTATTCTTTCTCTAAATATGTAACTTATTATTTTGATTAATATCCAAAATTCTCCTGCACGAAATCTCCAAAATGAGACCAATGCCTGCTCAGTACTTAAAAAGGTAAATAACTGAAATTTGTCAATACATATGACTCGGATTTTTCCTCTCCATTGTTTCTTTAAATTCAATTTGTACCTTCAAAATAAAACCACACAGTGATACTCGATATAGATAGACAGATTGATGAATAAATAGACAGTTGAGTTTGTTTCAAGTCTCTATCCTGTAGTGTCATTTCGAATCAGATTTCTATGTCCATCTAATAAGAAAAAATACTTACTTTTATTAATATATCTCATTACTGAACCATTTAGTCTTTTTCAATTTTTCTTTATAGAGTTTGCTTTAATTCTCTCATTTTATCTACTAATTTTCATTATTCATGTTTCTCCTAGTAAACTACCCCACATTCAACTTTATTTATTTATTTTTTTTTTTTTGAGAGATTGGGTCTCACTCTTTCACCTAGGCTAGAGTGCAGTGGCACAATCACAGCTCACTATAATCTCAAACTCCAGACACAAACGATCCTCCCACCTCAGCCTCCCAAGTAGCTGGAACTACAGGTGCCCGCCAACATTCTCAGCTAATTTTTTTTTTTTACTTTTTTTGCAGAGACGGCAGTTTCACTATGTTGCCCAGGCTGGTCTCGAACTTCTGGACTCAAGCAGTCCTCTCACCTGTGCCTCTCAAAATGCTGAGATTACACATGTGAACCACCATGCTGGGCCCCCACTTTCATTCCTGTAACATTCCCATTTATATTCCATGTCCTAGAAAGTGTTTTTACTTAGTCAATTAGTTTCCATTGAACATTTTTCTATTTTTCCGTATATGGACATCACTGTTTTGTTCTTAAGAAAGTGTGTGTGGAAATGTTCAGTCCTCCTGCTCTAGCTTCGTTTTTCATTTCTTTTTCAATTTCTATGAATTCAATTTGCATACCCTTAAAATACATTTTAATTATTTGCTCATCAACCTTAATCTGTTCAGCATATCTTCCAATTAAAAAAAAATTCTTCCTTATTTCCATTCATTAAAAGGCAACTAATAGTAATAATAACAAAAAGCCTATTATTTAGGAAACCATACACATGCTAGGTCCCTTCCTGGTCCCAGAACCAATCTGAGCCCACAGCAAGAAGCATTCTGCAGCTCTGGTCACAGAATCTGGAGGAAACACCCAGTTGCTAAAGTTCCAGGTCACCTGAGCACTGTTCTGAACCCCTTATCTCTTTCTAGACTGAGATAGTGCCTTCTGTTTCTTGTCAGACTCCATCCCAAGCCCAGGAATTCTGCTCCTGAACTGCAAGCTGGCTGGGTAGTTTGTTTGTTTGTTTGTTTGTTTGTTTGTTTGTAAAAAGAAATGAAAGAAAAAAGAAGGAAGGAAGAAAAGAGGGAGGGAAAGCGAGAGAGTGAGCAAGTGCGTACAAGCAAGCAGGCAGTAAATACTACTTCCATCCCAGATAAACTGGCAGTCCACAACAATAAAAGGTGGAATCACAGATGTCTTCGTGTGTTTAGGCTGCTACAACAAAATGTCATAGACTAGGTAGCTTATAAACAGCACATATTTATTTCTTGCAATTCTAGGAGCTAGAAAGTCCAAGATCATGGCACTGGCAGATTCTGTGTCCGGTAAGAGCTTGCCTTCTGATTCACAGGCCAAATCCATTTCTAATCTTGCTTCCTAATCACTTCCCAAAGTTCCCGCCTCCTAATCCCATCAGCCTGGGGGGTTAGGATTTCAATGTATAAATCTTGAGGGGACACAAATATTCATACCATAGCAACAGCTGCCTGGAAATACACAGATCAGGGGTCCAGAGGGGGAGCGTGAGGCACCATCATTTCTGTCCTAGGAAATCATGACTAACTCATCTTTTTAAGTTTTTTTGAGGGGAAAAAAGACACATGGACAGGATTGAATCTGTGCATGTGATTTATTTAAAGCGTCTTTATCAAGGGGCCTTTTATCTGGTTCTAGGACAGCAAATCTATTTAGATATAGGAAATAGAGGGAGAAAAAAATAAAAACCATGGGTCCCCAAGGACTTGGTACCAGACCTACTTTATTTAAACATATCCATGATTTGGAATCCAGAATAAACAGTATCACAAATTTGACCCATGACATTAAGATTTTCTAAGTAGTGAAATTCCAGGTCCTGAAAACTCAGTAAAGATTTCCCAAGCCAAAATGAGCTAGAAAAGAAGGTCCATGAATTTCAAAGTGAGTGAAGGTATTCAAATCCACAAGGAAGATGTTAGGCTCTGAGACACAGTTCACTGCCAGAAGTAGAACACCTTATGTGTCCCCAACGCCAAAGGGTATAACATTAGGCTGGGCATCCTTAGTAATGAACAAACATAAATAAAAAAATAGACTCCAACTCCACACACAAACTGTGGGTGTCTATGCTTGGAATACTGTATGCAACTTTGCTTAATCACTGTCAAAAAATACACAGTGAAACTGAAGAGAGCACAGAATGAGGAAATTAAAATAATCAACTGTGATAACAGACTAAAAGTACTTTTAAAAACATTTTAATCTGGGAAGATAAGTTAGGTTGGCATTGAAGCTGAAAAAAATCTTGAAAGGTATAAACAGACTATGAATGCCTCTCAAGGACTCCTTTGAAATAAGAGGTCTTTTAAGATGAATAAATGTTATAACACTCTCATTTCTTGTCTGCCAAGCACCACAGGATACAGAATCTTTAGCAAAGGTGAAGACAAGCTGGTGTGTAAGATTCAATTTGCACAATTCTATGATATTGATCCTAGGTATATCACTAGCTGCTACACTAATTTGTTGGGAAATAGGGAAGTAGCAGAAACTAAAACAGTAAGTAAGTACCCTAGGAAAGACCACATATCCGTTCATCCCTTCATTCAGCTATACTTACTGTTTATTATACACCTGATGCTATGCTAGACAATAATGAACATGTCCCTCTCTTATGTAATATGCCTTCTACCTAGGAGCTGGAGTGAGCAGTGGTAAAATTGCCATCTTACAGTTTTTACCACTATGCACTCATTTAGGTTAATTAGTTCCTCTGATATGTAAATTACACAAAAGTGAACATTAGTTAATAATGGAACAATTTCTTGAGAACTTTTCATGAAAGAAGCATGGCACTAGATGCTGAAAACATCATGACATCTTCCTTCCCCCAACTAGCTTAAACCTGTGAAACATTTTGAGTTTAGATTTAATTCAAACTGCAGCAGGAAACTGTTGGAAGGTTTTAAGCAAAGAAGTAAGTAACATTATCTGATTTTTACTGCAATAAGGAACTTTTTATCTTATTTCATTCATGTTTAAATTTAAATGATAGTTGACTAAAGCGATAATGTGTTGTGGAGTTTATAACATGTTATAAAGTTATGTAAGATGTTTGACAATGGATGGAAAGAGGAAATTAAAGTATACTGTTGTAAGGTTCTTACACTGTATGTGAAGTGGCATAATATTATTTCAAAGTTTGAGCTATAAGTTATAAATGAAAATTGTAAATCCTAGAACAACCACAAAAAGTAATAATCAAACAGAGGCATAGCCAATAAGCCCCCCAAAATACAATCATAGAAATACTCAATATATCAAAAAGAAGGCAGACAAGCAGATGGAAACAAAGAACAGATCAGACAAACATAAAACAAATAGCCAAACAGTAGATTTAAACCCAAACATATCACTAATTACATTAAATGTAAATGGACTAAACATTTCAATTAAAGGACAAGATTGTTGACTAGATATAAAAAAAAGCGGAGGAGCCAAGATGGCCGAATAGGAACAGCTCCGGTCTACAGCTCCCAGCGTGAGCGACGCAGAAGACGGGTGATTTCTGCATTTCCATCTGAGGTACCGGGTTCATCTCACTAGGGAGTGCCAGACAGTGGGCGCAGGCCAGTGTGTGTGCGCACCGTGCGCGAGCCGAAGCAGGGCGAGGCATTGCCTCACCTGGGAAGTGCAAGGGGTCAGGGAGTTCCCTTTCCGAGTCAAAGAAAGGGGTGACAGACGCACCTGGAAAATTGGGTCACTCCCACCTGAATATTGCGCTTTTCAGACCGGCTTAAGAAACGGCGCACCACGAGACTATATCCCACACCTGGCTCAGAGGGTCCTACGCCCACGGAATCTCGCTGATTGCTAGCACAGCAGTCTGAGATCAAACTGCAAGGCGGCAACGAGGCTGGGGGAGGGGCGCCCGCCATTGCCCAGGCTTGCTTAGCTAAACAAAGCAGCCGGGAAGCTCGAACTGGGTGGAGCCCACCACAGCTCAAGGAGGCCTGCCTGCCTCTGTAGGCTCCACCTCTGGGGGCAGGGCACAGACAAACAAAAAGACAGCAGTAACCTCTGCAGACTTAAGTGTCCCTGTCTGACAGCTTTGAAGAGAGCAGTGGTTCTCCCAGCACGCAGCTGGAGATCTGAGAACGGGCAGACTGCCTCCTCAAGTGGGTCCCTGACCCCTGACCCCTGAGCAGCCTAACTGGGAGGCACCCCCCAGCAGGGGCACACTGACACCTCACACGGCAGGGTATTCCAACAGACCTGCAGCTGAGGGTCCTGTCTGTTAGAAGGAAAACTAACAACCAGAAAGGACATCTACACCGAAAACCCATCTGTACATCACCATCATCAAAGACCAAAAGTAGATAAAACCACAAAGATGGGGAAAAAACAGAACAGAAAAACTGGAAACTCTAAAACGCAGAGCGCCTCTCCTCCTCCAAAGGAACGCAGTTCCTCACCAGCAACAGAACAAAGCTGGATGGAGAATGATTTTGACGAGCTGAGAGAAGAAGGCTTCAGACGATCAAATTACTCTGAGCTACGGGAGGACATTCAAACCAAAGGCAAAGAAGTTGAAAACTTTGAAAAAAATTTAGAAGAATGTATAACTAGAATAACCAATACAGAGAAGTGCTTAAAGGAGCTGATGGAGCTGAAAACCAAGGCTCGAGAACTACGTGAAGAATGCAGAAGCCTCAGGAGCCGATGCGATCAACTGGAAGAAAGGGTATCAGCAATGGAAGATGAAATGAATGAAATGAAGCGAGAAGGGAAGTTTAGAGAAAAAAGAATAAAAAGAAATGAGCAAAGCCTCCAAGAAATATGGGACTATGTGAAAAGACCAAATCTACGTCTGATTGGTGTACCTGAAAGTGATGTGGAGAATGGAACCAAGTTGGAAAACACTCTGCAGGATATTATCCAGGAGAACTTCCCCAATCTAGCAAGGCAGGCCAACGTTCAGATTCAGGAAATACAGAGAACGCCACAAAGATACTCCTCGAGAAGAGCAACTCCAAGACACATAATTGTCAGATTCACCAAAGTTGAAATGAAGGAAAAAATGTTAAGGGCAGCCAGAGAGAAAGGTCGGGTTACCCTCAAAGGAAAGCCCATCAGACTAACAGCGGATCTCTCGGCAGAAACCCTACAAGCCAGAAGGGAGTGGGGGCCAATATTCAACATTCTTAAAGAAAAGAATTTTCAACCCAGAATTTCATATCCAGCCAAACTAAGCTTCATAAGTGAAGGAGAAATAAAATACTTTATAGACAAGCAAATGTTGAGAGATTTTGTCACCACCAGGCCTGCCCTAAAAGAGCTCCTGAAGGAAGCGCTAAACATGGAAAGGAACAACCGGTACCAGCCGCTGCAAAATCATGCCAAAATGTAAAGACCATCGAGACTAGGAAGAAACTGCATCAACTAATGAGCAAAATCACCAGCTAACATCATAAATGACAGGATCAAATTCACACATAACAATATTAACTTTAAATATAAATGGACTAAATTCTGCAATTAAAAGACACAGACTGGCAAGTTGGATAAAGAGTCAAGACCCATCAGTGTGCTGTATTCAGGAAACCCATCTCACGTGCAGAGACACACATAGGCTCAAAATAAAAGGATGGAGGAAGATCTACCAAGCCAATGGAAAACAAAAAAAGGCAGGGGTTGCAATCCTAGTCTCTGATAAAACAGACTTTAAACCAACAAAGATCAAAAGAGACAAAGAAGGCCATTACATAATGGTAAAGGGATCAATTCAACAAGAGGAGCTAACTATCCTAAATATTTATGCACCCAATACAGGAGCACCCAGATTCATAAAGCAAGTCCTCAGTGACCTACAAAGAGACTTAGACTCCCACACATTAATAATGGGAGACTTTAACACCCCACTGTCAACATTAGACAGATCAACGAGACAGAAAGTCAACAAGGATACCCAGGAATTGAACTCAGCTCTGCACCAAGCAGACCTAATAGACATCTACAGAACTCTCCACCCCAAATCAACAGAATATACATTTTTTTCAGCACCACACCACACCTATTCCAAAATTGACCACATAGTTGGAAGTAAAGCTCTCCTCAGCAAATGTAAAAGAACAGAAATTATAACAAACTATCTCTCAGACCACAGTGCAATCAAACTAGAACTCAGGATTAAGAATCTCACTCAAAGCCGCTCAACTACATGGAAACTGAACAACCTGCTCCTGAATGACTACTGGGTACATAACGAAATGAAGGCAGAAATAAAGATGTTCTTTGAAACCAACGAGAACAAAGACACAACATACCAGAATCTCTGGGACGCATTCAAAGCAGTGTGTAGAGGGAAATTTATAGCACTAAATGCCTACAAGAGAAAGCAGGAAAGATCCAAAATTGACACCCTAACATCACAATTAAAAGAACTAGAAAAGCAAGAGCAAACACATTCAAAAGCTAGCAGAAGGCAAGAAATAACTAAAATCAGAGCAGAACTGAAGGAAATAGAGACACAAAAAACCCTTCAAAAAATCAATGAATCCAGGAGCTGGTTTTTTGAAAGGATCAACAAAATTGATAGACCGCTAGCAAGACTAATAAAGAAAAAAAGAGAGAAGAATCAAATAGACACAATAAAAAATGATAAAGGGGATATCACCACCGATCCCACAGAAATACAAACTACCATCAGAGAATACTACAAACACCTCTACGCAAATAAACTAGAAAATCTAGAAGAAATGGATACATTCCTCGACACATACACTCTCCCAAGACTAAACCAGGAAGAAGTTGAATCTCTGAATAGACCAATAACAGACTCTGAAATTGTGGCAATAATCAATAGTTTACCAACCAAAAAGAGTCCAGGACCAGATGGATTCACAGCCGAATTCTACCAGAGGTACAAGGAGGAACTGGTACCATTCCTTCTGAAACTATTCCAATCAATAGAAAAAGAGGGAATCCTCCCTAACTCATTTTATGAGGCCAGCATCATTCTGATACCAAAGCCGGGCAGAGACACAACCAAAAAAGAGAATTTTAGACCAATATCCTTGATGAACATTGATGCAAAAATCCTCAATAAAATACTGGCAAACCGAATCCAGCAGCACATCAAAAAGCTTATCCACCATGATCAAGTGGGCTTCATCCCTGGGATGCAAGGCTGGTTCAATATACGCAAATCAATAAATGTAATCCAGCATATAAACAGAGCCAAAGACAAAAACCACATGATTATCTCAATAGATGCAGAAAAAGCCTTTGACAAAATTCAACAACCCTTCATACTAAAAACTCTCAATAAATTAGGTATTGATGGGACGTATTTCAAAATAGTAAGAGCTATCTATGACAAACCCACAGCCAATATCATACTGAATGGGCAAAAACTGGAAGCATTCCCTTTGAAAACTGGCACAAGACAGGGATGCCCTCTCTCACCGCTCCTATTCAACATAGTGTTGGAAGTTCTGGCCAGGGCAATCAGGCAGGAGAAGGAAATAAAGGGTATTCAATTAGGAAAAGAGGAAGTCAAATTGTCCCTGTTTGCAGACGACATGATTGTTTATCTAGAAAACCCCATCGTCTCAGCCCAAAATCTCCTTAAGCTGATAAGCAACTTCAGCAAAGTCTCAGGATACAAAATCAATGTACAAAAATCACAAGCATTCTTATACACCAACAACAGACAAACAGAGAGCCAAATCATGAGTGAACTCCCATTCACAATTGCTTCAAAGAGAATAAAATACCTAGGAATCCAACTTACAAGGGATGTGAAGGACCTCTTCAAGGAGAACTACAAACCACTGCTCAAGGAAATAAAAGAGGACACAAACAAATGGAAGAACATTCCATGCTCATGGGTAGGAAGAATCAATATTGTGAAAATGGCCATACTGCCCAAGGTAATTTACAGATTCAATGCCATCCCCATCAAGCTACCAATGACTTTCTTCACAGAATTGGAAAAAACTACTTTAAAGTTCATATGGAACCAAAAAAGAGCCTGCATCGCCAAGTCAATCCTAAGCCAAAAGAACAAAGCTGGAGGCATCACACTACCTGACTTCAAACTATACTACAAGGCTACAGTAACCAAAACAGCATGGTACTGGTACCAAAACAGAGATATAGATCAATGGAACAGAACAGAGCCCTCAGAAATAATGCCGCATATCTACAACTATCTGATCTTTGACAAACCTGAGAAAAACAAGCAATGGGGAAAGGATTCCCTATTTAATAAATGGTGCTGGGAAAACTGGCTAGCCATATGTAGAAAGCTGAAACTGGATCCCTTCCTTACACCTTATACAAAAATCAATTCAAGATGGATTAAAGATTTAAATGTTAGACCTAAATCCATAAAAACCCTAGAAGAAAACCTAGGCATTACCATTCAGGACATAGGCGTGGGCAAGGACTTCATGTCCAAAACACCAAAAGCAATGGCAACAAAAGCCAAAATTGACAAATGGGATCTAATTAAACTAAAGAGCTTCTGCACAGCAAAAGAAACTACCATCAGAGTAAACAGGCAACCTACAACATGGGAGAAAATTTTCGCAACCTACTCATCTGACAAAGGGCTAATATCCAGAATCTACAATGAACTCAAACAAATTTACAAGAAAAAAACAAACAACCCCATCAAAAAGTGGGCGAAGGACATGAACAGACACTTCTCAAAAGAAGACATTTATGCAGCCAAAAAACACATGAAGAAATGCTCATCATCACTGGCCATCAGAGAAATGCAAATCAAAACCACTATGAGATATCATCTCACACCAGTTAGAATGGCAATCATTAAAAAGTCAGGAAACAACAGGTGCTGGAGAGGATGTGGAGAAATAGGAACACTTTTACACTGTTGGTGGGACTGTAAACTAGTTCAACCATTGTGGAAGTCAGTGTGGCGATTCCTCAGGGATCTAGAACTAGAAATACCATTTGACCCAGCCATCCCATTACTGGGTATATACCCAAAGGACTATAAATCATGCTGCTATAAAGACACATGCACACGTATGTTTATTGCGGCACTATTCACAATAGCAAAGATTTGGAACCAACCCAAATGTCCAACAATGATAGACTGGATTAAGAAAATGTGGCACATATACACCATGGAATACTATGCAGCCATAAAAAATGATGAGTTCATGTCCTTTGTAGGGACATGGATGAAATTGGAAACCATCATTCTCAGTAAACTATCGCAAGAACAAAAAACCAAACACCGCATATTCTCACTCATAGGTGGGAATTGAACAATGAGATCACATGGACACAGGAAGGGGAATATCACACTCTGGGGACTGTGGTGGGGTCGGGGGAGGGGGGAGGGATAGCATTGGGAGATATACCTAATGCTAGATGAAACGTTAGTGGGTGCAGCGCACCAGCATGGCACATGTATACATATGTAACTAACCTGCACAATGTGCACATGTACCCTAAAACTTAGAGTATAATAAAAAAAAAACATTAAAAATAAAAAATAAAAAATAAAAAATAAAAAAAAAAGCAAGACATATGCTATCTATAAAAAATTCATTTTAACTAAAAAGACACAAATAGTTTAAAAGTAAAATGATGAAAAAAGATATGCCAGGAAACTCTAATAAAAAGAAAACTGGAGTGGCCATTCTAATATTAGATAAAATATGTTTCAATAAAGATGATTATTTCATAATGGTAAAAGCATCAATATCAAGAGAACATAATCCTAAATTTGTATGTAACAAAGCTTCAGAGCAAAACTGGAACTGACAAGAAAAATAGACAAATTCACAGTTTTAGTTGATTTCAACACTTCTCTCTGATTGAGTTGACAGGACAAGTAGACAGAAAATCAGTTAGACTGCTATAACTGATAAAACACTGCTGTCAACCAACTTGATCTAATTGGCATTTGTAGAACACTACTCAGCAATAGCAGAACACAATTTTTTTCCAAATCTATACAGAACATTCACCAATATGAGCCATATCTTGGGCTATAAAACATGTATCAATAAATTTAAGAGTACTAAAATCAAACAAAGTATGTTCTGTGACTATAATGAAATAAATAACAGAAAGATATCCAGAAAATCCCTAAAATCTTCAAAATTATACAACATATTTCTAGATAACCCATAGATTAAACAAGAAAACAACAGGAAAATTAGAATATATTTTAAACTGAATTAAAATGAGAGTGCCACATATCAAAATGTGCAGGTAGAGGACAAATAGTGCGGGGAAGGAAATGTGTAGCACTAAACATACTAGAAAAGAAGGATTTCAAATCAATGATCTAAGCTTCCGCTTCAAGAAACCAAAGAAAGAAGTGGAAATTAAACCCACCACAAGCAGAGGGAAGAAAGTAATAAAGTTAAGAACAAAAATTAATAGAAATAGAAAAAGAAAGAAAGAAAATCTATGAAACAAAACAAAACGATTAATAAAACTGATAAAACTCTAGCCAAACTGACAAATGAGAGAGAGAGAGAGACAACACAAATTACCAATATAAGGATTTAAAAAGGGGAAATCACTACTGATTCTACAGTCATTCAAAAGATAAGGTAGGCCAGGCATAGTGGCTCATGCCTGTAACCCCAGCACTTTGGGAGGCTGAGGGGGGCAGATTACCTGAGGTCAGGAGTCTCAGACCAGCCTGGCCAACATGGTGAAACCCCGTCTCTATTAAAAATACAAAAATTAGCTGGGCATGGTGGCAGGTGCCTGTAATCCCAGCTGCTCAGGAAGCTGAGGCAGGAGAATCACCTGAACCCAGGAGGCAGAGGTTGCAGTAAGCCAAGATTGTGCCATTGCACTCTAGCCTGGGTGACAGAGAGAGATTCTGTTGAAAGAAGAAAGAAAGAAGGAAGGAAGGAAGGAAAGAAAGAAGGAAAGAAAGAAAGAAAAAGAAAGAAAGAAAGAGAAAGAAAGAGAGAAAGAGAGAAAAGGAAGAAGGAAGGAAGAAAAGATAAGGTAATACTATGAATATTTTTGTCAATAAATTTTGCAAACTAGATTAAATTGTTAAACTTCTCAAAAGACACAATTTATCAAAAGAAACAGAAATGAAATAGCAAAATGCAAATAGCTCTATATCTATTGAAGTAATTCAGTTCATTGTCATCAGTCTTTTCCCCAAAAAATACCTCCAGGATTAAATGATTTCACTAGCAAATTATATCAAACACTTAAGGAAAATTTAATTCCAATTGTAGGAAAGCTCTTTCAGAAAATAGCAAAAAAAAGAAACACTTCCCTCCTTGTTTTCTCATACCAAACCTGATAAAGACATTATGAGACCAGAAAACTAGAGACTAACAACCCTCATAGCCACACATTCGTCATGACATTTCTAACAAAATATTAGAAATCCAACCAGCAACCAATAATAGAAAAACACATCATGACCAAGTAGGATTTATTCCAGGAATGTAAGGTTGACTTCATATTTTAAAATCCATCCATGTATTTTGCCATATTAGCACACCGAAAAATAAAAACCATGTGATCATCTCAATAGTCTCAGAAAAAAAATGCAACAAAATCCGAAGTCCATTCCTAGTAAAAACTCACACAAGCTAAAAATTGAAGGAAGTTTCCTCAACCTGATAAAGGCCACCTGTGAGAAACCTTGAGTTAACATCATCCTTTTTGGGGAAGATTGCCTTCCCCCTAAGATTAGGAAACAGGGCAAGGATATCTGTTTTCAACACTTGTATGTTTAGAGGTGAAGGGAAAACTTACCTTTCCCCCCTTGGAAGATTTGCTGAAAAATCAATCGACAAAAGGAAGATTACCAGGAGAAATGGCATACAAATTTATTAAAGTGCATGGGGGAGAAACACAGGGTGATTACTGCAACCCCCGCCAGTGGGGTGCAAAAGCTTATATACCATCTTGAGTTTACAGAAAGAATGGCCAAAGTATGTTTTGGCTCAGAGCATGGCCAAAAACAGTTTGTAGTGTTAAATCAGATTATGGTGGCAAGACAGGTTTGGGAGGGAGAGAAGAGGAGGTCTGGCTAGCAAAGGTCATCTTGTTATGTAGATGAAATCACACAGGTAGCAGCCCTCAGAGAGAATAGATGGTAAATGTTTCTTTTAGACCTTCAACAGAGTCAGTCTCTCAGTCTTTGCTAGATCAGACAAAGGAGGGCTTCAGAGAAAGCCTAGCGGCATCAATGCAGACTTTCTCTGCAGATGCAAATCTCCCCCACAAAAGACAGTTTTTCAGCCATGCTGAATACCCATCCTGAAATATGTTAAAACAGAATATTTTGGGGTGAAATATTTTGGTTTCCTTCATCTACAACATTGTACTCTAAGTCCTGGCTAGTACAAAAAGACAAGAAAAAGAAATAAAAGGCATCGTGTTGGAAAGAAAGAAGTGATAGTGTTTTTCTTCACAGATAGCATTGATTGTCTATGTAAAAAATCCAGAGATCCACAAAAAAGCTACTGGAAGTAAAAAGTGGGTTTGGCAAGGACACAATATTTCAGGTTAATGTACAAAAATCAGGGATACAGGCACAGGAAACAATGGGAAAATGAAATTTTAAAAATGAAATACCTAATATTACCAAAAATTAAAATATTTGAAAATAGATTTAATTTTAAAATGCAAGACCTGTACATTGAAAGCTACATACCATTCTGGAGAAAAGTTAAAGAAGATCCCCCAAAATGGAAAGATATACTGTATTCCTAGATCAGAAGAGTCAATATTGTTGTCAGTTCTCCCTAGTATGTTGTATAGATTCAAGGCAATCCTGATTTTAGCAAACATTTTAGAATTTTACAAACCAATTCTAAAATTTATATAGAAACACAAGGCACCTAAAACAGCCAAAACACTTTTTTTTTTTTTTTAACTGAGTCTTGCTCTGTCGCCCAGGCTGGAGTGCAGTGGCATGATCTTGGTTCACTGCAACCTCCGCCTCCTGGGTTAAAGCAATTTTCTTGTCTCAGCCTCCCAAGTAGCTGGGATTACAGGTGCATGCCACCATGCCCAGCTAATTTTTATATTTTTAGAGACAGGGTTTTGCCATGTTGGCCAGACTGGTCTCGAACTCCGCACCTTGGGTGATCCTCCCACCTTGGTCTCCCGAAGTGCTGAGATTACAGGCATAAGCAACCACACCCAGCCCAAAACAACTTTTTTTTTTTTTTTTTTTTGAGACGGAGTCTCGCTCTGTCGCCCAGGCTGGAGTGCAGTGGCGGGATCTCGGCTCACTGCAAGCTCCGCCTCCCGGGTTCACGCCATTCTCCTGCCTCAGCCTCCCGAGTAGCTGGGACTACAGGCGCCCGCCACTACGCCCGGCTAATTTTTTGTATTTTTAGTAGAGACGGGGTTTCACCGTTTTAGCCGGGATGGTCTCGATCTCCTGACCTCGTGATCCGCCCGCCTCGGCCTCCCAAAGTGCTGGGATTACAGGCGTGAGCCACCGCGCCCGGCCAACAACTTTTTTTACAAAATAAAATAAGCCTGGGCAACATAGTGACACATCATCCTTATAAAAAAATCAAAAAATTAGTTGGGCGCATGCCTGCAGTCCCACCTACTCAGGAGGTGGGAAGATTGCTGGAGCCCGGGAAGTTGACGCTCTAGTGAGCCGTGATCATGCCACTGCACTCCAGCTTGGGCAACAGAGTGAGATCCTGTCCAAAAAAAAAGAAAGAAAAAAATAAGAAAAGGAAAATATTTAGAGGACTTACATTACCTATTTCCAAACTCACTTTACCACTACAGTAATCAAGATGGTGTGCTATTAATGTAGCAAAGATAAACCAGTAGAACAGAATAGAAACTACAGACATAGACCCACATATATGTGATCAATTGATTTGTAATTGGCTGAGCATGATGCCTCATGCCTGTAATCCCAGCACTTTGGGAGGCCAAGGTGGTTGGATCACCTGAGGTCAGGAGTTCGAGACCAGCCTGGCCAACATAGTAAAACCCCATTTCTACTAAAAATACAAAAAAAAAAAAAAAAAAAAATAGCTGGGCGTGGTGGCAGGCACCTGTAATCCCAGCTACTTGGGAGGCTAAGCAGAAGAATCACTTGAACCCGGGAGGCACAGGTTGCAGTGAGCCGAGACCACACAATTGCACTCCAGCCTGGGCAACAAGAACAAAACTCCATCTCAAAAAAAAAAAAAATTTAAGAGACGAAGTCTCACAATGTTGCCCAGGCTGACCTCGAACTCTTGGACTCAAGCAGTCCTCCCACTGCAACTTCCAAGGAGCTGGGACTACAGATGTGCACGACTGCACCCAGCTCAATTGACTTCTGATGAAGGTGACAGGTAATTCAATGAGGGAGAGAATCATCTCTTCAACAATCAGTGCTGTAACAAATGGACACATATGTGAAAAATAACTTTGTCATACCTCATTTCATATTCATCTGCAAAAATTCACTCAAAATGATCATAAACCTAAATGTAAAAGCTAAAGCAATAAAACTTCTAGAAGAAAACTTCAGAAGAAATGTTTGTGACCTTGGTTTGTATCTAAGATATCTCAGAGAGGACAAAAAGTACAAACTGTAAAAGAAAAAAAGTTGATAAATTGGACTTGATCGAAATTTAAAACTTTTCTTGTTAAGAAATTAAAAAGGCAAGCCAAAGATTAGGAAAAGATATTTACAACACCCATACCTGATAAAAGATTTGTATTGAGAATATAAGGAATTCTTCTAGGATAATAATAATAAGACAACTTTTTTTTTAAGGCAAAAGATTTGAACAAATAAACTCACTATATTTTAGGAAACTTATTTTTGTTATGGTTGAGACAGGGTCTTACTCTGTCACCCAGGCTGGAGTGCAGTGGTGCAATCATAGCTCACTGCAGCCTTGAACTCCTGAGTTCAAACAATCCTCCTGCCTTAGCCTCCCAAATAGCTGGGATTACAGCTGTGTGCCACCATGTCCTGCTAATTTTTAAAAGTTTTTTGTAGATATGGAGGTGGGGGTGTCCTGGGGGTGTTGCCCAGGATGTTCTTGAACTCATGGCCTCGAGCAATCCTCCCACCTCGGCCTCTCAAAGCGCTGGTACAGCCATAAGCCTCCATGCCTGGCAGTCTCCTCTTCTTATAAGGACATCATTCATTGGATTAGGGCCCATCCGAAGTCCAGAATGATTTCACTGTGAGATCCTTAACTTATTACGTCTGCAAAGACTCTGATATCCAAATAAGGTCACATTCTGAGGTTCTGGAAGAACATGAAATTGGGGGGCACACTATTCAACCTGCTTCACTCACCATCCTAAAGTTTATAATAGCATTTCTATTATAATTTATAATAGGAATTAAGAGTTTTACTTTAAAATTTATATATACCATTTATATATTCCTAAATTTTTCAGCAAAGTTTGTGTCACATTCATTCATTCATTCATTCACCAGACAAACATTTAGGGGACATTTACCATAGGACATAGGAGTTTAGGCTCTTATCCTAAACCTAGGTATCATTCCTACCCCTGAGTTCTTCACAATGATTTTGTACCTCTCCTTCCAAAAGGAATCATCTGGCAGAGAGAGCATTTCTCCCAGGCTGGAGTTATTTTCACACGTTAGTTTTTAAATTAAAACAATAGTAAAGTGCACTGACATTTTGTTCCTACAGCATGTGGAGTAATATTTTTATGGTTACTCTGGCAACCACAAAGGCAAGAGCAGCAGGGGGGAAGGAGCAGAAGGGCTGGCACGGGTCACTGGGAGGTGGAAGGAGCACCTCGCTGCGGTGTGCTGGCTCGGGTCCAAACAGGACGGGGCCGCAAGACCAGCTACTGCACAGAAAACGGCCTGAATCCCCAGCCTGAGTCATCGTCCCATGACTGGAGAACATGGACAGATTATTTTCTCAAGAAACTGGTGATAAACCAAGGGCTGCAGGAATTAAGATCTAGTGCTAAAAAAGAAATGTTTACATAGGGCTAGATATCCCGTCAGCATAGAAAGGGCAGTTGTTGATTGAACTACTATTTGTAGACGACAGGCACATGCGCTGCCAAGTCCATAGCGACTAAAGTGCTGTCAAGGACTTGGTTTTGCCAGTGCACCGGATTCCGGGACAAAGTCTGAGCTAGGTCATATGCTCTCTCCTCTCCCTATGCTTATGAAACATGGTCCTACCCCTAATTAGTCAGTCCCTGTCTATTATGGACCAACTACGTACACAGCACTGATCCAGGGGCTTTGGAAACACTTTTTTAAAAAAGCGTTAAACAGACTTTGCTCCAGCCAATGACATAATGCAAATGAGACAAATAAAATAAAATTGTGCTTATGCAACCTAGGTATTTCACCTTCTGAGTCTTAAAAAAAAAGAGAGAGAGAGAGAGAGAAAAAAGAGGGAGGTAGTTTGGGAAGGGAAAATTATGCAAAATCTTGTTGAAAGTCAACATGTCCTAATATTAGTGAAGAGTATGAGCTTGGCTTCACATGGTCCTGGATCGAACTCTAACTTTCACTCGCCAGCTAAATATCCCTATCCTTGCAGGTTACTTATATTTATTGACCCTTTCATCCCTCTCATTTGTAAAACGGAAAGGGAGATTCCTACCTTGTGGGTTTGCAGTGAGAATTAAATGAGAACATGTGTGATGAGCACTAATGTCATATCCGGCCTCTCACAGAAACTCAGTAAATGGTAAACGTCACTGTTGCTGTCGTTCATGGATTCAGTCTCACCCTGGGCATAGCTTGGGACAGGGACATGAGGCCATAGTGATTGAGAGCACCGAGAGGCTATGGAAGCTCACTTCTGAGGCCCAGTCCCCCCGGCAAAGTGCAGCATCCGAGGGACACCAGAGTCTCCGAACCAGAGGAAGTACAATGGCCATCAAGGACAGGAACTACCTAAACGCTCAGCCATCCTCTGAGACCTATTCGATGAGGTATCTGGCTCAACCACTTAGTTCCTACTACTAAGATTTTCTGATTTGGGGAGAAAAAGTGGTGAGTGGAAACCTGCTGGTTTCCCCCGGGACCTGGGGGTGACTCTGGAGCCCTCCTCTCAGTCTTCGCTCTGAGTCTTCGTAGAGGAGGAACAAGCATTCCTCCTCTACCTCAAGGTGTGGGTTAAGTGGGAAACAGGAGCTCGGTTGGGGCTTCAGGAGAATGATCCAGGGCCTGGTTGTGGGAAGTTGGCCAAAAGAAAAGTAGGGTGACCCACAACAATGTGGGAAGGAAGAGTTCGTCCTTTTCTCCTTGGCCATCGTCTCTATAACTTAGCAAAATCAACTTGGCTGAATGAGAAGTTGTCTCACCCCTCTGTTAGGTTAGTCACTCAATAACAATTATTTTTAAGATCATATTCTATTTATATGCCAAAGAGCTAAATATAGAACTGTGTGACTCTACCAGCATTCAGAAATATTCCAGATACACTAAAATGAAAACCTGACTATAAAATAAATCCACCCCAGATTACCTCAACTTTCAGAAGATCATATCTAGAAAGCAGACAATACTAACATTTAAATGGTTTTAATCATAGTCAGAACCAGAGAAAAACGTTTCTGTTTGTCAATCTTTTAAAGGCAAACAAACCTAAATCTTCACCAATATGCGATTTT
Source organism: Homo sapiens (assembly GCF_000001405.40). Lineage (NCBI taxonomy): Eukaryota > Metazoa > Chordata > Mammalia > Primates > Hominidae > Homo > Homo sapiens. The sequence continues at coordinate 237,011,353 of NC_000001.11, read as the reverse complement.
TTAATACAATCATTTTTCACAAATGTGGTCAAATTGGTTACAAGAACAACTAATCCCACACTAGTTTTATTTAGTTCCCAGTGAGAAGGTGTAATTCTGACTTGCCTTGACTAATAGAACTGTCGTGTTGTCTGGCTAAACATAGAAGCTATTAGAGAATTAGGACATAAGTATTCTAACTTCTAGAATGATGGAGAATGAGAATTGGAGACTTAGGTCCTAGGCCCCAGCTCTGGACAAGTCTTTTAACAAAAATAGTGCTGAGCATTTGCTAGAGCACAGTTCTGAGTAAGTAAGGAGTATGGGAGAAGAGAAGGCTCATTTCTTTCCCTTGCAGGGGCCAAGGGAAAACTTCCCCTTTGCCCTCTGAAGTTTCACTGAAAACTTAACTGACAAACGGCAGATTAATTGGAGAAAAGCCATGAAAATTGATTCACATGCACGGGAGGGAGAACCCCCATCTCAATGAGAGATGACCCCCTATCCTAGGGAGGCCCAGATGTTATATGCTCTTATTCCAGAGGGGAGGGAGGGATAGGGAATGTAGATCATTCCGTTGAGGGGCAATCAATGATTACTAAGGAGAATGAGTGGATATGAGTGGATGGGGAGCAGAGATTAACTTGTCAATGGTTGTCTTTGGAAACTGACTGAGCCTAAGAGACAGATACTATCTTGTAAGTGGGTGTGTTCAGGTGTGTTTAGATTCTTGCTCTTCTTTTCTGAACAGGTAATGAACTAACACAGAGGAGAAGGAAAAAACCATTTTCCCTCTTGGTAGGTCCCTCTTTATGTACATAGGGGAAAAGTCATTTCCAGTGTCTGTGGGTCTTTAAGGGCCTTTACTTCAAAACACTCATACCAGGGAGCTATATTTTAGAGTAACATTCCCCAAACTCCCTCACCCTCAAGTGGTTTAGCAATCATTTGGTGTTACAAAATTAAACCAGTGGCACAGAGGAGCCCGGTAAGACTGTTTATAATGAAGTTCTATGTGGATACACAGTTTCTAGGTATAAGAAAAAGGGGAAAAAAATCCATGGACCTGGAGCTGTTGGGGAAGGCAGACATTAGGCTGGCCCTGCACTGTTAGGTAAGCTATGGATAGGAAATGTTGACCAAAACAGCCAAACTCTGTGAAATATTTGAAGAGGTTTATTCTGAGCCAACTGTAAGGACTATGACCCATGACACAGTTTCAGGAGGTCCTGGGAACATATGCCCCAGGTGACTGGGTTAAGCTTGGTTTTACACCTTATAAGGGGACAGAAGTTACACACAGAGACATAAATCAATACATGTGAGGTATACATTGGTTCATCCCAGAAAGGCAGGACATCTTGAAGTGGACGCTTCTAGGTCATATGTGGATTTCAAGATTTACCAATCGGAAATTTGTCGAAACAGCTAAGTTATTATCTGAAGACCTGGGATGAATAGAAAGGAGCATCTGGGTCAAGAAAAGGGTTTGTGGAGACCAAGGTTCTTATTATGTAGATGAAATCATGTAGGTGGCCACCCTTCGAGACAATAGATGGCAAATGTTTCCTATTCAGACTTTTAAAAGGTGCTAGACTCTCAGTTAATTTCCTCAGGATTGGGAGGGCCTGGAAAGGGAAAGACTTGGTTATGTTAATAGACATTCTTTACAGCTGGATATTTTCCCCCACAAAAGATGGCTTTGCTGGGTCATTTCAAAATATGACAAAGAAACATATTTTGGGGTGAAATGTTTTGATTTCCTTCTTTATTTGTCATGTGATGCTATACTAGAGTCAGGTTGGAATTTGGTATCTTATTGCTACAAAGAGTCTGTGTTGTCAGTGTTAAGATCTCTGTTTTAATGTTAAGTTTGGTCAGTTGTGCCTGAACACTAAAGGGAGGAAAGTATAAGGAGGCATGTCCAACCCCCACTTCCCATATGGCCTGACCTAGTTTTTCAGGTTTCTTTGGGTCCCCTTGGCCTAGAGAAGGGTCCACTCAGTCAGTTGAGGGCCTTAGAATTTTACTTTTCATTTACAGGAAGGAGGAGAGCATAATCACCCAACAGATTCTTCCTGCCACTTCATGGACAAAATCGATCCTCTGAGACCACAGCACTGCAAAAAGAGAAAGAGTTTAATTGACGCCAGGCCAGCTCACACTGGATCAGCTGGAGTTATCACTCAAATCAGTCTCCCCAAAGGCCTGGAGGTTGTAACTTTTCCAGGATAGTATGGGGGGCAGGGGGCTGTGGAGTGGGGAATGTTGATTGGTTGGGGATGAAATCATAGGGATGCAGGAAAATGGGCAGGTCTAGGTGGAGTCAGCCAGTTATCAGGAATACAGGAGTCAAAAATCACCTCAAAAGACTAATTTTAGGTTCTACAATAGTGACGTTATCTCCAGGAGTAATTGGGAAAGTTTTAAATCTTGTGACCTTCAAAACAATGGCTGCTTATCATTTATGCCTACATCTGAGAATTCAGGCCCTCTCATCTTCCTAACCCTGCAGCCTTTCATTAGTGTTACAAAGTCAGTTTAGTCTGGGGGAAGGGCTATGATCATCCTTGCTTTAAGGTTAAACTATAAACTGAATTTCTACCAAAGTTAACTTGGCCTATACCCAGGGATGACCAAGGACAGCTTGGAGGTTAGAAGAAAGACGGAGTCAACTATGTCATATTTCTCTTATTGTCATAAATTTGCAAAGGTAGTTTCAAGAGCACACTACCTTCCAGATGAAGAGCAAGTTTAGGTGTGAAGGTGGAAGGCTGTCTGTCTTTGCTCAGTGAGACCAGAGAAAACGGGGGTAGACGAAGAACTTGGAGGGGCAGACAGGGGAGCAGAGCCTTAACGTGGAAGGACTTCCATTATCAAACGTTTAGTCAACACCTACCGTGTGCTGGGCACTGCAAGGACATCTGGGGATGACAATGTCACCAGGAAGAATGAAAATTGTGCTCTATAGCATTGGGATTGGAGGAGCCTAATGAGAAGAGATAAACCTTAGCTGGGCGACTCTGGACAGGTAACCAAAAGTGATGCCACAGGGACCTGGGCTGCTGAGGACATGGTGGGAATGGAGAGGAGAAAACTGTTGCCTTGAAAGAAGTGGGAGGTACTGCCCAGGCATGGGGGACACAAAATTCACATGATTCAGAAACGGGCAGGTTTCCAAGCAGGGTGAGTGAGAGACTGTGGCGCCAGAGATAGACGTGATCGCCAGGTGACCTAGGCAAGACACTTAGCCCATCTCCTTGTCACCTGAGGGTGGTAGTAGTTTCCTGCCTACATTAGAGGATTGTTGTGAGATTCTGTGAGAATTTGTTTTTAAATCATTTTAAATGTATATCCAACATAGGATTAGAAAATGTTTTACTTTGTATGCTGGTTAGTAGGCCTCTGCCCTTTCGATAGTGACTTCAGCTCTTCATCCTTCATTTCGGACATAGATAGTTGTTTTTCTACCTCTACCTTATATCATTTTTAGAACTATTAGCTCCAGATGCCAACACTTTAGCCACAGCCCTGCTCCTTGTGTGCTACAATTGTTCTCTGGGCCATGGATGCAGTTACTGTGTGTGAAGCACTTCCTATTTGCAATATTATCTCTCTACCTTCTGGGTTTCTAATCCCAACAACGACCTCTCCAGTCCTGATGGGCGAGGTCAAGTTGTTCTGTCTCATTCCGCCGCTGACGAGCGGGACAAGGATAATCACATGATGAATGCAGGACGTCAATGTCTCCCCACGGCATTTCTCCCTTTCCTGTGGAGAGTCCTCAGACAGTTACAGAACGAGCATCCTGTTTATCTTGCATCCTTATTTTGTATAGACAAATTGATTTTCGGTAACTGGATTTTTAATGCTATATTAAAGAGTCTTTGTGGTTGCACTTATAAAGAATGGCAGCATGGGAAAATGAAATGAGCCAGTAAAGGGAGGAGAGAGAGGGAGAGAGGAGGAGGAAGAACTGAAGTAGTTTGAGAGCCAAGCCCTCCCCTTCTACTTTCCCTATTTTGGAACCTCAGTTCTCAGCGGCCCTCCCTGGCTGCCTTGCCTTTGCTGATGCCGCCACGGAGCCTGGACAGAGGCAGGTGATGCAGACGTGGAGTAAGGAGTGGAAAAGATATCCTCCAAGAGGCCTTAGGGAAGCTAAAGAGATGGGGTGAAGCCACTAACTCCTACCTGCTGACCCAACTCTTTTTCTCTCCCTGTATCATTTCCAATTCAGCTTTATTTTTTGCTCAGTTGCTTAAGCTTTTGGCAATGTATCTAACCCCTTTGGCATCATGGAGTTTAAACAGGAATTCAAGGACTGAACCCTTCCTTTCAATCTCTCTCTTTTCTCTTGGTATTCAGAAGTCTCAGGTCTCCGTGGAGTGGAGACCTGAGTATGGCTGTCCCCACCAAAAAGGTGCCCTGAGACTCACTGTCTGCGAGGCAAAATACTCCAGCTCAGTCTTGTGTTGAAAGAAAAGCTAGACTTATAGAAAAAAAAAATGCTGCACATTTGCTTGATAAAACGGACTAGGCATAAATTTTTCAGAGCAATTTGAAATAGAAAATATATGTACCATATAATCTTCCATTGTTCCTGAATGTTTAGTCCCTTTCTTGTATGGCAAATCAGTTAACATCTGAGATGTTGTTACCTCTGAACTACAATATTTAGCTCCCAAGAATGTTATGAGGAATAATAATATGTAGTCACATATATTCCTTAGAGGAATCACCCAAAGTAAACTAACAAAATTAATTACACAATGATTAACAAATATTGGGTGCTATGTACTAACTGGTATTAATAACACCAATAATTATTATATTACATGTGTCTTAAATAGATCCACGCTCTGCATAACTTTTTATATCCTGCTTAAATAATAATTGTTTAATTGCCATGAGACTTTACAGCATTAAAAATTGTACAAAGAAAATTTCAGAGGTTTCATCCTTTCTGTATTCCAAACACCCTTAAAATTCATCTTCCAACCTGCTCATAAAATGAAAATATGCAAAACAGTATAGAAAGGGAGAGTTGGCCAGGCAAACTGGCTCACACCGGTAATCCCAGCACTTTGGGAGGCTGAGGCGGGTGGATCGCCTAAGGTCACTAGTTCAAGACCAGCCTGACCAACATAGTGAAACCCTGTCTCTACTAAAAATACAAAAACTAGCCAGGCATGGTGGTGGGTGCCTGTAATCCCAGCTACTCTGAAAGCTGAGGCAGGAGAATCACTTGAACCCGGGAGGCGGAGGTTGCAGTGAGCCAAGATCGTGCTATTGCACTCCAGCCTGGGCAATAAGAGTGAAACTCCATCTCAAAAAAAAAAAAAAAAAAAAAAAAAAAGAAAAGAAAAGAAAACGCGGGAGGAGAATTAACTTGGACAATAAACCAGTTTCGAAATGAAGACAAGTTTCCAAAGCATGGGAGGAGATGTCATTTACAACAGCACACAATTATGGTTTGGCAGGAAAGAAAGCCTATCACAAGCTAACTGCTATAATAGATTTGAGTTTCTTTACATGTAACTCTTTTTGGCACTAAGCCAGAAGCAGCAATGACCCTCCCTCTCTCTCAATCTCCGTGTGTGTGTCTGTGTGTGTGTGTGTGTGTGTGTAAAATGTACTCATTCATCCACTTAACTAATGTTGATTGGCCACCTAATTCATAACAGGCACAGTGGGAATGGAATAATGAGCAAAACAAAAAATCCCTCCTTTCATAACATATATGCTCTAGGATAATACATAAATAAGCAAGTGCCCAAGTCACCTACTCATTTATATATGGACTCAGAAGTTGATGTGTGTATATACATATGTATTGTATTGAATTATTTACTTCCTTCCTAGCTGCAACACCATCTTAGTAGTACAATAATCACAATCTATAGTTCCCAGCCATTTCGGCTTCCATTAATCTCTTCAACTTCTCCTCCAAGGGACCTGCATAAGGCTGAATGGTTAACTGAAAACCGTAATAAAGAACCCTCTCGTGCTGGCCCCTGACTTAAACCAAGACAACAATTAAGAGTGGATTCTTTGCTTTAGGTTCAAGATGATGAACAAATGGAACACGAGAAGGTGCCACTCAAACCTGAGTCAAGGAACACAGCTAAGTCCTCGAGGCAGGCCAAGATTCATACCTGAAGATTTCTCCAGAAATAGGACCTCAAGGCAAAGCCAAAGGCATGAGTGGAACCATAGAGCCCAAATGGGTGGTTATGGATGGGTCTTTTTAAAAGATTATTAATTATCATAGTAAAATTATACATGACATAAATTTTATCATTTTAACCAGAGTACAGTTTCATGGCATTAAGTATATTGACAGTGTTGTTTTATCATTAACAATGTCTTCAGGACTTTTTCATCTTCACAAACTGAAACGCTGTACCTATTCAACAATAACACCCCAATCTCCTCTTCCCCCACCATCCAGTTTTTTGTCTCCATGAATCTGACTCCTCGAGGAAACTCACATAAGCGGAATTGTATTTGTCCTTTTTTTTTTTTTTTTTTTTTTTGAGATGGAATCTTGCTCTGTTGCCCAGGCTGGAGTGCAGTGTTGCAATCTCAGCTAACTGCATCCTCTGCCTCCCTGGTTCAAGTGATTCTCCTGCCTCAGCCTCCCGAGTAGCTGGGACTACAGGTATGTGCCACCACGCCCAGCTAATTTTTGTATTTTTTAGTAGAGACAGGGTTTCGCCGTGTTGGCCAGGCTGGTCTCGAACTCCTGACCTCAAGTGACCCACCTGCCTTGGCCTCCCAAAGTGCTGGGATTACAGGTGTGAGCCACCATGCCTGGCCTGTATTTGCCTTTTTGTGACTGGCCTATTTCACTCAGCATAATGTCTTCAAAGTCCATCCATGTTGTAGCAGGTGTCAGAATCTCCTTCCTGTTTAAAGTTTGAATCAATCCACGACGCCCTCCACGTGTTCCACTGCCTCTTCTCTTCTCGCTTGGGAACGCCGGTCTCACCTCGGCTTGCAATGGACCCCAACTGCTCCTGCGCCGCTGGAGGCTCCTACGCCTGCGCCGGCTCCTGCAAGTGCAAAAAGTGCAAATGCACCTCCTGCAAGAAGAGCTGCTGCTCCTGTTGCCCCCTGGGCTGTGCCAAGTGTGCCCAGGGCTGCATCCGCAAAGGGGCTTCGGAAAAGTGCAGCTGCTGTGCCTGATGTCGGGACTGCCCTGCTCTCGGATGAAAACAGAATGACACGTAAAGTCCGGGATTTTTTTTTCTACAACCCCGACCCATTTGCTACATTCCTCTTTTTTCTGTGAAATAGGTGAATAATAATTAAACACTTAGACTTGAAAAGTAAAATAAAATAAAGTTTGAATAATACTCCATTGCATGCACGTACCACATTTTGTTTATCTATTCACCCACTGTGGGTTGCTTCTACCTTTTGGCTACTGTGAAGAGCACACAACGAACATGGGTGTACGCATCCACTTGAGTCCCTGTTTTCATGAGAAGTGAGTATAGTGAGGAGCCAAAAAGTGAGAAACTACACAGCAGACAAATTAAAGGTGGTCTGAAGGAATTCCTAAGAAAGAAACGCTGGGGTCGACAGTCGCCTTTCACACATTCCCCGTGAGGGCTCTTGTGGGCAGACTCATTTGTGTAAAGAGACCAGGAACAGCGAGCAATCTGCTTTCATTCTTTAACACATCTAAAATATTTCTCCCAATTCCCTTTATGACTGAAGATATACATTTAAGAACCATCTGGCTGAGATGAGAAAGTGCAATCTGTGGCTACAGCCCCAGACTCGTTAATTGTTCAAGAAATATTTGCCAAGTACCTTATGTGTCAGTCATCCTACTACGTGCCTGGGATACACCTGTGAACAAATCATACGAAAACGTCTGCCCTCGAGAGGCCGTCATCCCATTGAGGGGAGACAGACAGTAAAAAATACATACAATCTAAGCAAGTTACATAATGCTACATAGCAGCATCCTTGTATCCATTTGCTCATTCATTTATTTAATCATTCAACAACTATTTACTGAATACCTATTATGAGCAGACCCAGGAGAGAGCTGAGCATAGAACATCTTACTTGCTCTTTGGAGCTGAACTAACCAGCATTCTACACACGAATCACAGTGTATTGCGTTTTATTTTCTAGCACCAGTAATTGAAATGAAGAAGATGTGAAATGATGATATGAAGTAAAGAAGACTAAAAGGTATGTTCAATTACCGGAAACTCAATTGTAAGACCAATTAGAATCTCTATAAGTTCTATTCATAGAGAATTTGCCTTCAAAGACTAGGAGAACATAGATGCAGGGCACTCCTTGATGTATTTTTATATAATTTCAGGTCTATTTTTCAGTTTCATTGCAATTATAAAATGACAAGCAAGCACTCCCAAAAGCCTGACAAAAATCACTGGATTCTAAAAACGGTGTTTATTCATATTTACATCTCAATGGCAATAACTCTTTTTTGCTTTTCGCTTTGGAATATTATAATACTAATATCTAGTCGGAAAGCGTAGCCATAAAATTACACATAAAAACTTATATGGTATGATGGTGAGAAATATTCTTTTGTATTCAAGTTTAATTTGACATTCCTTAAAGAAAGGGGTGTAGTTCAAAGCTGCAAAAGAGAAAGGAACATTTATAAACTACTGAGGGATTAAAAAGCAGAAACGAAGGCCTGTCATTGGGTTTGGCTAATAAGTGTATTTCATCCTCCAGCTAAGCAGCTGTGGTGGGCAGAAGGGCGGCTGGGTCACCTCCACTCACTTTGCTGTTCTCACTGGAGTGAGGTCAGAGGCTTCCCACAGGAGCACAGTCTGTCCCTTGGAGCAAGGAGCGACAGAGCTTGGCTGAGAGGAGAAGAAACATCACACCGCCCTCACCTGCTAGCCCTCACTTCCCTCTCTGTGGCTCCTCCGATGCTCCACTTTCTCCATAGGCAAAAAGCCACCTATATGTCACCTGTGCACCTGTGTGTTGAGTCTCTCGTGGAACATAATGTTGTACATTTTGAGAAAGACACAATTGCTAGATGGAGCATGAGAAGCCTCAGTCCCTTCCTAAGGGAAAGGGATTCAACCTCCTATCATTTTCCCCCAAGTTGCTGAAACTGTGTGGCCACATGGGTAAGCCTTGGTCAAAGCCCAGGAGGAGAGAAAAGCAGCAAGGCCTTGGGAGAGTCCCAAGAAGGCACCAGCAACAGGTCAGTGATGAAGGGAGAGAATGGAGGTCTGGGTGCCACAAAAAAGCAGCCACTGGAACTAACTCACCTGAGCATCTGGCTGTAGGTCTGTTGCCAGCAAACTGCTGTGACAGAAAGAGAGTCATACCAGATTTGCCAGTTGTGTGGACTTTGCCTCAGTTTCCTCCTGGTGACATGGGGTGATTGTGAGGATTGAAGGGTTAATCAAAGAATGCACTCAGAAAGTATCAGCTTTCATCCTGAGCTGAGTAGTCATGGCCAAGTCAAAACCCCAACTCCCTCGTGAGCTCGCCTCTCCAAGTTCTCACCCACCGTAAATGCCTGGGCAGAAAGGAGCTCTGCAGCACCTCTGAGGGATGGTCTCCAGATGCAGGTCAGGTCCATGATGACGTTTTCACCAGTCCTCCATGGAAGGAAAAGGAGGGAAATTTCGTGGGTGTCTGCGGGAGATAGCCCACTGTCGTTTATTGGGAAGGAATGACCCTTTTTCCAGGATTATTGACTTCAGAGCCACGCATGGCATGCAGGCTGCTGCTGGACACCTCCTCAGGGATCCATCCATGTTGACCACATGGACAGTGGTGCTTCTTGGAGCTGTGCAGCATGGCAACCTGGCATGCTCATTTGGTGACAGTGGATCGTGGTTGGTTTTCTCCTTTTCCTCATCTTTTTCCTCCTCCTCACCTCCTTCTCCTCCTCAGTGTCCTCACTGGCAATGAGATGAAGAAGGAAAAGCTACCAAGGATGCAGCTCAAGAGCCAGTCTTCCATCACCCCAGGGAATAGAGTCCCAGCCTGGGCAAGAACGGAGAGAAGACAGAGAGATAGAACAAGTTTACGCTCTGTTTCCAAAAGGATGTCACAAATGAACTTAACAAAACTCACCAAGAAACCTCAGGCATAAGAGAAAGAAATGGGGAGATACCAGAATATACACCTACATTCCCTTTGTCCTATCCAGAAAAAAAAATGACATCTTCAAGTCATTCGTGGTACCCAATGGACATGACAAAGTTAAGCACCCGCATTCTGAAGCAACTCACTTCAACATATCGTCCTCCCACTCACTTACTACACATGCTTTTCCATTTCTATTCTTTAATCTCCTCCATTTCTATTTTTTATTATCTAGTTTTCTCCGTTTTATTGATATATAATGATTTACATATTCATGAGGCACATATGAGTGTTTGCTCCATGCAAAGGATGTGTAATGATCAAGTCAGGGTAATTGGGAAATGCCTCACCTTGAGTGTTTATCATTTTTGTGTTGGCTTCAAGTCCTCTCTTTTAGTTACTTTGAAATATGCATAACATTGATGCTAAGTATCATCACCCTAGTGTGCTATCAAACATCTGAACTTATTTCTTCTATCTAACTGTATGTTTGTACCCATAACCAACCGCTCTTCATCCCTCTTCCCCTACCACCCTTACTATTATTTTCCTTTTTTTTTTTAAGACAGGGTCTGGTTCTGTCACCCATGCTGGATTACAGTGGCATGATCATAGCTTACTGCATCCTGGAATCCTGGGCTCAAGTAGTCATCCCATCTCAGCCTCCAAGTAGCTGGGACTACAGGTGTGAGCCACCATGCCCAGCTGATTTAAAAATATTTTGTTAGTCTGGGTGCTGTGTCTCACACTTATAATCCTACCACTTTGGGAGGCCGAGATGGGAGGATCGCTTGAGGTCAGAAGTTCAAGACCAGTCTGGTCAATGTAGCAAGACCGTATCTCTAAATAAATAAATAAATAAATAAATAAATAAATAAATAAATAAATAAATAAATTGTTGTTGTTAAGGGGTGGAGTCTTGATAAGTTGCCCAGGATGGTTTTGAACTCCTGGTCTGAAGAAATCCTCTTGCCTTGGCCTCCTAAAGCAATGGGATTATGGGTGTGAGCCACCAGGGCCGGCTACCATTTCTATTCTTATGAGAAGCAACTAAACAGGGCATCAGGATGACATAGTAAGAGGAGTATAGGTTTGGAAAGCAGGGTTCCTAACGGGCAGTGAGTGGGACACTTGCCAATGCCAAACCTGAGAAATTAATTTATTTTCTCAAGGAAACCGTATTAGATGTTCCCTAAGGAGAGCATTTTGAGATTGAACGTAAACTTTCTCAGCCACATCAAAAAGCCTGGTAGTGAAGCACAGGGCGTTCGACACACTGAAGGGCAATCATTGGGCTGAGCTTCTGCCCTGTGCTCCCAGACCACAGTCTACAGAATCAACTTCTATAGACTGTAACCATTTGATCTAAATGCCAGAGCCTGGGATGCCCAAGGAAGATAAAAGCAAGGGTCATATTTATGTTCTTTTATTTCACATCCATTGAACAACTGTTCAACGGGCACCTCCTAGCTTCCTGTCTCTCTGGATGGGGTCCTGGGAGCCAGAAAAACAAAACAGACTTCCTCTCTCCAGAATGTTCACAGCATGACGGGGGATGAGACAAAGCCGGTCCTCAGCAGTGCAATTGCGCTTTAACTAAGCATGAAGGGGGTGTGTCCCATGCCAACCACATCTCCATAGCCCTGTGGGACAAGATGCACAGGACTTCCCTGATAAGAGAAAAACAGTCCTCTGATAGCACCTGGGGATGCACGCCACTATCTTCAGTGACTATTTGGAAGGATCAAAACCGGTTGATGCCTTAACTCACGGCAGCAGCAGCTCTACTTCAGTGAAGAAAACCAACAGAAGTTCACGTTGCAACTGTGCTGTTTATGACCCCGAGGAAGCCATCGGGCCACCTGGGCTCTAGGGTTTCCCTGCTGGGAAATGATCCTTTTCATCTCAGGGAAGACAGTTATTATTATTATTATTTATTTATTTATTTATTTATTTGAGACAGAGTCTCACTCTGTCGCCCAGGCTGGAGTGCAGTGGCGTGATCTCAGCTCACTGCAACCTCTGCCTCCCAGGTTCAAGCGATTCTCCTGCCTCAGCCTCCTGAGTAGCTGGGATTACAGGCGTGCACCACCACTATGCCCGACTAATTTTTGTAGACACGGGGTTTCACCATGTTGGCCAGGCTGCTCTCGAACTCCTGACCTCAAGTGATCCACCTCCCTCAGCCTCCCAAACTGCTGGGATTACAGGCGTGAGCCACCATGCCAGGCACTGGGGAAGACAATTCTCATTCAATTATTCAAGCCATTCTCTCTCTCTCTCCTCTCTTCCTCTCTCCCGCCCTCTCCCTTTCTCTGTCTTCCTTTTTCTCTCTCTCCTTCTCTGCCTCTTTCTGTCTTCCTTTCTCTCTCCCTCTCCCTCTCTCTGTCCCCCTCCCCCAATTCTGCCCCACCACCTGTCTTTGAGAAGAGAGAAGGGACAGCTGTGTTCCCTCCCTAGCCACCCACTGGGACTGCAGGACCAGGAGGTGGGCCAGTTCTGCTGACATCTGATGCTAACAAAAAGCATCAGCGAAGCCGCTGCTCAGCCTCTCCTGGCTGTAGGAGGAATCACTGCTGTGGAACATGAAAAATTAATTAGGAGAAGATGAGTGCCTGGGCCTCCTTTCTTCTCAGACCCAACGGAATCAATAAAATCCTCAGCTCCTGCCAATAAAAGGCAAAATTGTGCATTACCCATGGACAGCCAGAGAGCTGTCAGAATTACAGAATATTGAAACTCGAAGGCCCCTAAATGTCCCCAAATTGTCCAAAGAGTCTTTGTGATTTATTCACTAACACAGTAAGTTGGTGTCAGGGGCTTGGTTCACACCTGTATCTCTGAATGGACTTGGACCACATGAACCAGAATCAGGAATCCTCCTGCACTCACAAAATCATGGAGAGGAAGGGCAAGGGGGTTGCTTGCTGCAGAGAAACCCTAACTCCCTTTCCCTATAGAAATGCCTCCAAGTAGAAGTGGAAAGAAAGAAATAACACACCTGTGCTCACCCCCGCCTGGGCCCTGCCTTTGGCCGCTGGGTATGCCGGTCTCCTCTATGCCCTCTGAGTAACAACAGAAACAAGAACTGAATCCCGAACAGTGGTGGCCAGGGAGGGCCCGTGTGGAGGCACGGCCAGTCTGCCACCTGCCTGCACTGCACCGATCTCTCCTGCGTGAGATCAGCCAGCAAGGCACGTCCAGGGCCTGCCTGGGTTAAGTGGCTCTCAGATGAGGTAATAATGACAAAGCTCTCCTGAGCCTGGTGAGTTTTCCAGGCATGGAGTCAGGTCGCCTTATTTAGTCTGATTGTTAAAACCATTCTTTAAATATCCTGCTACGGGAATTTACGATGCCTTTTGAAGCTTTTTATTTAACTGGTAGTGTTTTGTTCCTCTTTTCCAGAGCCGTGAGGATGGGGAAAACTGTTTCCTTCCACCACGTATTCTGGTGTTGAAAGGTCAACCTCAATGTTAGAGAAAACACAGCACCCGGCCCTGCTCCCCTTCTCTTCGCAGGTGAAGTCACTGAGTGACATGGTGTGTCAGGTGCCCTTGGGTTTGTGGGGGAAATGAGGACACTGATGTGTAAAAAGCCAACAGCCAAGGAGAGGACAGAGGCCACCCTGTGTAGATGCTGCCTCTACAGCAGGTGACGAGAAGCTGTTCTCCCCTCTTTGGTTTTATCAAAGCTGGTGAGCACAGTCCTGTCAGCAGACAGACGCGAGGGGACGTGGGTCAGGCGTGTCATCCACGGGATGGGCAGGGGCCTAACGCCAGCAGCAACCCGCATCTCCATTCAAGGGCATGGGCACAGGGTCATGGAGCGTGTGTGACTGATTTGGCCATGCCAGAAACACAGTCCTGGGGAAAAGAAGAACAGCAAGAGATCGCAGATGCTTCTCACCGTCTGGAATTTTCGTAACATTCTACTTTCCCCAAACCTCTTACTGGCAAAAGTCTTATCACCAATCATAATGAACTTTGAGTTCATTAAATTGAATTTTATGTTAATATGATTTTTTTTTGAGACAAAGTCTTGCTCTGTTGCCCAGGCTGGAGTGCAGTGGCACAATCATGGCTCACTGCAGCCTTGACCTCCAGGTCTCAAGCGATCCTCCCACCTCAGCCTCCCAAGTAGCTGGGACTACAGGCACATGTCACCATGCCTAGCTGATTTTTTAATTTTTTGTTGAAACGAGGTCTCACTATATTGCCCAGGCTGTATGTTAATATAATTTCCAAACATAGGACTAGGTGTAAAGATAGCAACAATTGCATTAAACATGAATGACGTTTGTGTAATGCTGTGAGCTGTTATCTGTACTTTTTTTTTCTTTTTTATCTTTTTTTTTTTTTTTTTTTGAGATGGAGTCTCTCTCTGTCACCTCAGCTGGAGTGCAATGGCATGATCTCAGCTCACTGTAACCTCCGCCTCCTGGGTTCAAGCGATTCTCCCGCCTTAGCCTCCTGAGTAGCTGGGATTACAGGTGAGTGTCACCATGCCTGGCTAACTTTTGTATTTTTAGTAGTGACGGGGTTTCACCATGTTGGCCAGGCTGGTCTCAAACTCCAGACGTGAGGTGATCCACCTGCCTCGGCCTCCCAAAGTGCTGGGATTACAGGCATGAGCCACTGTGCCCGGCCTGGTACCTGTACTTTCGTGCAGGTGTGCAGTGACCATGTACCCAACAGCTGCTTCAAGCGCACGTAAGTACTTCCTCTCTTCTAACCATAGGACCAGGCCAAACTGGGCCTACTCTGTCGAGTTACCATGTAGGTATAACACAGCCAGAAACTGCAAGTCATGTAGCCTGAGCAATAGGAAAGGCGTTGACCCCTAATAACACCCACAACCAGTAAGTCCTTCCAACAGAACCAGAAGACTAGGACATGACCAGAACCTGAATGCTGGAACTATTTCAGATGCAAGGAGTCCATTGGCCCCAAAGATCAGGGGTAAAATCTGCCTCAACATACCTTACTATAAATGGTCAAATGTCAGACCTCCAGTCAGACCCTGCCAAGCCAACTATTCCTAAGTCCTTTTCCATGGCCCATGAGCCCTTAAAACTTGCCCCAGACCCCCAGTGGAGGAGACAGATTTCAGCCTCCCTCCTGCTTCCTTGCTGGTCTGTCTTGCAATAAAGCCTTTTTTTTCTCAAAAGCCCGTGCCATAGTATTGGCTTCTGTGTGCATTGGGTAGAGAGCCCATCTGCTCAATATGACTTTCTCCTGGGCCCCAACAATTGCCCTTGTCTGAGCTCCTTGAGGAAGCTCCATGTGCTTGTTCCAGGGACATCTCCCCTCCCCAAAAGGCCCCATCAACTGAGGGCTTCAGCAGAGGTTGGTAATGCCAGAAACCTAAGTGTCTGCTGGAGTAAGCTTGCTCCTACTACAAGAGAGAACCATGGCCCAGAGACTCCGTAATGTCAGCTATGCTGGGCTCTAGCCAGACACTTAGGCCTGGACATTTGACTCACCTTCCATTGAAATAGGCCATGAAGACTAACCCCTTCAAGTCTCTCAGCCCTGTTCACTTTAGCCACCCATGAGAAGCTGAAACTTCCCATACAACAGCACCCTGATTTCTTGTCTTTTTTTCTTTTTTTTTTTTTTAGACAGGATCTTGCTGTTAGGCTGGAGTGCAGTGGCACAATCATGTCTCACTGCAGCCTCAAACTCCTGGGCTCAAGCAATCCTCTCACCTCAGCCTCCTGAGTAGCTGGGACCACAGCCGCCACCACACCCAGCTAACTTTTAAAAAATTATTTTTAGTAGAGACTGGGTTTCACTTTGTTGCCCAGGCTGGTCTTGAGCTCCTGGGCTCATGTGATCCTCCCGCCTCAGCCTCCCAAAGTGCTGGGATTACAGGCATGGGCCACCATGCCTGGCCTGACCTTTATTACTATATTCTTCATAACTGCCTAATATGAGCTACCTCTCTCCTCCCATCTTTTTTTCCTGGGATTTTTTGTTTGTTTGTTTGTTTTTTGCCCTCAAAACAATTCCTTCGCTATCATTTCAGGTGGGAGCAATGGTAAATGTGTAGGCTTAAATTGCCGTCCCTTATGCAGAAGCCTCCAGTCACCTGTCTTTACTTGGGCCACTTCCAGTAGTCCCTCCCCTGAGCCTTCTCTGATTCCTTGTTGTTGTTGTTCTGTTTGGTTGGGATTATTTTTGTTATATTTTGTTTTGTTTTTTTGAGCCAGGGTCTCCCTCTGTTGCCAGGCTGGTGCGCAGGGGTGCCATCATGGCTCATTGCAGTCTCGACCTTCTGGGCTCAAGCGATCCTCTCACCTCAGCCTCCTGAGTAGCTGGGAATACAGCCATGAGCCACCACACCCAGCTAATTTTTTATTTGACATACTGATGACATATTAATCTCTCAAGGCCCGATGGGAGGGTTTGGGTGAGTTGTGGAGAGTGATAATGAATTAAAAGACCTGAGAAAGCTGAATGCTAAACCAGTATTGAAGGAGGCCAAGAATCAATCCAATTAACACCAGAGAATCCCAAAGTCACAAGAATTGGTGGCAGTGGTTACCTCTAGAATACAAGTGTGCGTGTGTGCATATGTGTGTGTGCATGTGTGTGTGCATGTTTGCATGCATGTGTGTGCACATGTGTGTGTGCATGTGTGTATGCATGTATGAGTGTGTGTGTGTAAAGGTAGGTCTAAATAAATAGTGCTAAGTTGCTTATGAGTTAGATCCTGAGATCCTCTCCCCAGCTCCCTCCATAGAGATGGGTGGATGCACCCTGTCTATCCCAGCAGGAGATGGGAGGCTTGTTCTCTGAAGAAGGTCCCTGGACTAGAGATGGAGGCCCAGCTGGGAGTGAGGGCACCATACTGAAGCAAAAGGGCTGAGTAAACACATATTTATAGATACTGAAATCCCCATCCCTTTTCCCAAACTCAGCTCCCAGAATGCTGGTGGCACATGCTACTTCTCTAGGTAGATATTGGAAGAGCCTTCACAGGGGCATCTGACTATCCCTATAAGAAAGACTTAATGCTACTGACAGATTTTTCCAATGTAACAGCCCAGCTACTTTCCTAACAGCGATTCCTACAATTCCACCAGCCCCACAAACAAACTTAGAGCTTTCAATAGTTTTCTTAGTAAGCCACTCTTAAAAATGAGCAACCAAGAAAACCAGGCATTTGAGAAAAGCCCCTAAAATAGGTGTTAGAAACCAAAACAAGCAGCAAAAGAAAACTTGAAAGAAACAGCAGTTACACAAGAAGAAGAAAATGCACAAACTTCTCTTTAGTATCATCAGAGAGAAAAGATATTGCTTTCATAAAACAAAAACAGAATGTCTTCAAACAGGAACATTCAGAGAAAAGAAAACTACTCTTAAAAATTAAAAATATGAGAAATTTAGCAGAAGCAAGGAAAGATAAAGTTGAAGCATTCACTTAGAAAGTGAAGCAGAAAGAAAAAGAGATAGATCATAGAAGAAATGATAAGAAAACTAGAGTACCAATTTAGGAGCTCTAACACCCAAAAGTAGTTCCAGGAAAGAGAGAAGAAATGGGAAGAAATTATAAAAAAAAAAAAAAAAACATAATTTCCCAGAATCAAAAGCATTTATTTTTGTAAGAGTACAGGAAGTACCCAGGATATTGTCATAAAATTTCAGGATACCAGAGACAAACAATGGAGCAGAAATCAAAATGGCATCAGAAAGAGAAGGCAATGCGAGAATGTCTCTAAAATATAAAAGGTATATTATTTCCAACATAGAACACTTGATCCAGTCAAATGATGAATCAGATTTCAGGACATATTAGAGTTCTCCAGAGAGACAGAACCAATAGAATATATATGTAGAGAGAGAGCGATAAAAGAGGATCTATTAGAGGAATTTGCTCATGCAATTATGGAGGCTGAGAAGTCCCATGAAAGGGCATCAACAAGCTGGAGAAGCAAGGAAGCCAGCAGCATGGCTCAGTCCAAGTCTGAAAGCCCTGAGAACTGGGGAGGCCCCTGGTGCAAGTCCTGGAGTCCAAGGGCCTAACGCTCTGACGTGCAGGGTCATGAGAAGGGCATTCCAGCTCCAGAAGACGGAGGGTGAATTTGCCTTTCCTCTGCCTCTTTATTCTACCCAGGCCCCCAACTGACTGGATGGTGCTACCCACACTGAGGTTGGATCTTCTCCCCTTAGTCCACTGACTAACATGCCAACATCCTCTGGGAAAATCCTTACAGACACATTAAAAAATAATGCTTTATCAGTTATCTAGTTGCCCTTAATCCAGTCAAGTTGACACTTAAAATTAACCATCAATCACATAGGATAAAATAAATGTTTCAATGTTATGATGGTAAAGTCTTATAAATTTACCTGTCATAAACCATGGGAACATCAATTATCCAAGGAAGCTATAAAATACTTAAAGAAACAAAACAAAAGAAAAAGAGATGGCCACAGCAAACAGGGTGATATGGTTTGTCTCTGCGTCCCCACCCAAATCTCATGTTGAATTGTAATTCCCAGTGTTGGGGGAGGAACTTGGTGGGGACCCCCGTCTGGTGACTGGATCATGGCGGTGGATTTCCTCCATGTTGTTCCCATGATAGTGAGTGAATTCTCACGAGATCTGGTTGTTTAAGAGTGTGTGGTGCTTCCCGTTTCGCTCTCTCTCTCTCTCCTGCCACCATGTGAACAAGGTGCTTGCCTCCCCTTTGCCTTTTGCTATGATCGTAAGTTTCCTGAGGCTTCCCAGCCTTGCTTCCTGTTAAGCCTGTAGAACTGGGAGTTAATTAAACCTCTTTTCTTCGTAAACTAGCCAGTCTCAGGTAGTTCTTTAAAGCAGTGTAAAAACAGACTAATACAGAGATTACAACAGGTTGTTAGGAAGCAAGATCCGGGATAACAGCTAAGTTCCTGGCATAAAAGGCAGCCAGTCCAGACTACAGCATGTTAGAAAGAAGATGAAATTGATAGGTTATCTGTTGCATTTGAATGTATCGAGAAAAAATTGAGACATGAACACAGAGTTTAGGGTTCAACTAATTATTAGGATTGGGTTGGTGATAGAAACCAAGCAAACAAGACAATGATTACTGCAGAGAAAGCAAAATATTTTTTATGAAAGCTAAAGTAATTACAATTTATTCCATGGCTAAGCTTTGATTAACATTTTAATTAAAAAATCATTTAAAAGTCATATTAGGCCAGGTGCGGTGGCTCACGCCTGTAATGCCAGCACTTTTGGAGGCCAAGGCAGGCGGACCACTTGAGGCCAGGAGTTCAAGACCAGCCTGGCCAACATGGCGAAAGCCTGTCTGTACTCAAAATATTTTTAAAATTAGCCAGGCGTGGTGGCAGACACGTGTAATCCCAGCTACTTGTGAGGCTGAGGCAGGAGAACCATGTGAGCCCAGGAGGCAGAGGTTTCAGTGAGCTGAGATCATGCCACTGCACTCCAGCCTGGGTAACAGAGTGAGACCCTGTCTCAAAAAAAAAAGTCATATTACAGTAAACCCTAAATATTGATCTTATCAATATTATGATAAAAGTATTTTTGGAGTTGGGATGGGAGAATCAAATAGGTGGATGTTTGTGGTGGGAGAAAAAGATAAAAGACAAATCCTCATATTTCGTAACGGAGTGTAAATTGATATTGTAGAAAACTGAAAAATCAAGAAGTAGCCATCTAAGCATGTTATTTAGATACATGAAGGTAGATGCCAAAATAATCAGCTAAAGGAGTTGAGCATGGAGCCCATTGGAAAAGGGATTTAAAAAGGGGAGAGAAGAAGCAGGGCCCTCTGCCTTTAGTACTTTAAAGCCTTTGAACACACTTGCTTTAAACTATGTCTGTGAATAAATTTGGTAAACAACAACATAATAAATAAAAGAAAAACAAAGTAATAGGTCAGGACATTTCTAACAGAGGGAACAGCGTAGCACGGCCTCAGCAGCACAGAATGCTTTGTTCACATAGGGCTTAGGATACAAAGAGGAAAAGGCACAAAGAGATGAGTCAGGGACTTCTATGTCTTCTTAGGTTGTACAAAGCCCCCAAAAGAATATTCCTCATATCCTAATGCTGAGAGAAAGCTGGATCATCTACAAAATCAGAGCTTGTCTTGAACCCAATAGAGAGCTGAGATTTCAAGGCAACCAAAGGAACTAAATTTTAAGGACTGACAAGTGCCTACAAAGACAAATGAAACGTATTAACTTTTTTAACATTGGAAGAGCACAGGAGGAGAAAGAAGTGGTGGTAGGAGTCTGTAGAAAGGAATCAGCTAAAAATTGAACAAATTCCTGAAAGCCATAGGTGGCTAACCTATCCATTTAGAACTGAGAGTCAGATACATAGAAAGTTTGCACTCATCCCAAGATCTTCTCCATGAATCTCCACACAACAGCTGCAAGAAAGATTGGAGGCAGCTAGGGGAAGGGACCAGAGAGAGCTCCTGTCATTGACACGGGTGTGCAGGAAGCAAATGCTGCCTCTCAGGACAGGCATGAAACGCCACTTGCTTCCTCAGACCTTTGTCTGCTATGAAGCAATCACCTCATGCCATGAGGGAGCAGCAACAACCCTTTCTCCCCCAGGGATGGTGAAGAAGAGGAAGAAGAAATCCTGTCTGCTTCTAAGGGAGGAGTAAAAAACCCTCTATTCTGCCCCTACCCCCGAATTATCCAAAGATCTACTGTGTCTGGAGGAAGGGTGGAAGCATCAGTTGTCTGCTCCACAAGGAGGGGCAGGAAAATGTCATTGACCCAGGATCCTGTGCCAATACATAACAGGGGTCTGCTCTTGCAGGGAAGTGGTAGGACATACTCTCCTGCCCAAGACCTACCAAAGACACAAGGCAAAGTTCAGCTGTGATGGGGGGAAAAGGGAGGAATCCCAAGAAGTCCTCACACCTGAGGCACCCAGGTCCTGCCTAAAACTGAGCTGGACCAAGAGAAGTGAGAACCTGCCTACCACTCACAATGAGCCCAGCACTGAGTAATAATAGTAGTCTTCCACTACAGAAGGGGAAGATGTGGGTAGGGAACCCCTATCGGATTGGTGTGCAGAGATGACTGAAGCTGAAAGTGGAGCACAAACATGAGAAGTCCCTCTGGCAGGCCACCATGGGGGAATATGAAGCCTGTGGTGCACTGAGGATAACAAACAACAACATTCAAATACTTCTCAACTACTAACTAGATTGACTAACCACTCCACACACACATATTAATGCCATGAAAGAAGAGATGTTTCTATTTCTAGGTGTAAACGTTATTTACCTAATTCACTACTGTTCTGTAAATGATAACCATCATTCGATAACAGGTTACAAGATACACAAAAAATCAAGGAAAACACAACTTACTGTCAGGAGACAAAGGAATCAATAGAATCAGACCCAGAGATGACTCAGATGATGTAACTATTGAACAGAGACTTTAACTGTGATGAGTATGTTAGTACCTAGTAGAAAAGATGGGCCAAAGCATGAACAGATAAGAAATTTAAGCAGAGAAATGGAAACTCTCTTAAGAAGTCAAATGGAAATGCTAGCAATAGAAAATACAATATCAGATAGCAAGAATTTCTTTGATAAGCTTATTAGAAAGCTGGACACAGCTAAGGGAAAAAGTTAGTAAACTTGAATATAGATAAAGTAGATTATTCAAAATGAAACAAAGAGGAAAAAGAGTAGGAAAAACCAGCAGGGAATCTATTGACAGTTGGACAATAGCAAATGGTCTGACATTTGTGGATTTTTTTTTCAAGACAAAGGCTCTCTTCATTGTCCTAGCTGGAGTGCAGTGATGCAATCATTGTTCACTGTAACCTTGAATTCCTGGATTGAAGTGATCCTCCCACCTTAGCCGACTAAGTAGCTAGGACTACAGGTGCATGACAGCATGCCAGCTAATTTTTTAATTTTTTGTAAAGATAGGGTCTCCCTATGTTGCTCAGGCTGGTCTTGAACTCTGGGCCTCAAGGGATCCTCCCACCTTTGCTTTCCAAAGTACTCACTGGGACAACAGGCATGAGCCACCACACCCAACCCATTCATGGAACTTGCATCAGAAAAGAAGAGAAGGAGGAGGAGGAGAGAGAAAGGAGGAGAAGAAATATTTGAAGAAAAAATGGATGAAAATGTTCCAAAATTAATGAAAAACAACAAACCATGGATTTAAGAAGCTCAGAGAGAACCCAGGCAGGATAAATAAAATGCACACATACACAAATATACAAAAACACACACTAAACACATCAGTTAAACTGCTGAAAGATAAAGTGAAAATATTATGAGCAGCTAGATGAAAAAATGAGTCTGAAGAGGTAACAAAAGACCAGATCACAAGGAATTTATATGCAGATCACAAGGAGTTTTTATACCATGCAAACAACTTCGGATTTTTTTCCTTCCTGATGGCAAAGAGAAGACACTAGCACATTTTAAACAGGGAAGTGTTCTGATCAAATCTGCATTTTACAAAGATCTCTCTAGCAGCAGTGTGGAGAATGATTTGGAGGCGGTAAATCATAAAAATGGATAAGTCTGTTGTGATATATTCCTATAGGGAAACAAAACAGAGAAAACAAATGAACCAGAGCTAAACATATTACCATGGATGAATTTCATAAGCATAAAGTTAAATAAAAAATCAACTTGCAGAAGAAAATGTACACTAGAACACAATTTATATAAACTTAAAAGCAATGTTGTTAAGGAATGAGACATTTAAAAATAAAAATCATAGGAATGTTAAACAGAAAAGTAAAACACCCTGGGGAGGGATAGACAAGGGATGCAATCAGCAGAAAGTACACAAAGGTTTTAAAGACATTGGTAGTATTTTATTTTATTCTATTATTATTACGGTTTGTTTGTTTGTTTGAGACAGAGTCTTGCTCTGTCTCCCAGGCTGGAGTGCAGTAATGCAATCTTTGCTCACTGCAACCTCTGCTTCTTGGGTTCAAGTGATTCTCCTGCCCCCAGCTCCTGTGTAGCTGGGAATACAGGTGGGCACCACCATGCCTGGCTAATTTTTGTATTATCAGTAGAGACAGGGTTTCACCATATTGGCCAGGCTGGTCTCAAGCTTCTGACCTCAAGTTATTTGCCCGCCTCAGCCTCCCAAAGTGCTGAGATTACAGGTGTGAGCCACTGTGCCCGGTCAGTAACATTTTATTTCTTAAGAATATGGGTGTTGGTTTTATTATTTTAATTTCCCTTTGATATTTGCAATATAGCATAATAAATTTTGAAAATAAAACTAGCAAAAAATAAAACAAATTTTCTGTCTATAAATATTTAATGAAAAAATAGACAAATAATTTTGAATCTCTCCAAAGAAGATACACAAATAATCAAAAAGCACATGAAAACATGCTCAGTATTAGTAGTCAGTAGAAAAATGCAAATCCAAACCCCAATAAGATATCACTTCACATTCACTAGGATGACTAGAGTAGAATAGACAGAAAACAGCAAGTGTTGACAAGGACATGGACAAATTGAAGGGCCCATACATTGATGATTAAGAATGTAAAATAGTGCAGCCATTTTGAAAACCAGTTGGAAGTTCCTCAAAAAGTCAACCATAAATCCAGCCGTTGTACTCCTAAATATATACCCAAGAGAAATGAAAACAGCTGTGTAAACAAAGACTTGGACATAAGTGTTTATAGCAGCATTATTCATCATTGCCAAAAGGTGTAAACAACCCAGACATCTATCAGTAGCTGAATAGATAAACAAAATGTGGTATATTTGTACAATGAGACATTATTCAGCCATAAAAGGCAAAAGAGATCTGAATAGAAATCAGAGTATTCAACCATGAAAGAATGAAGTTCTGATATACACTGCCACATGGATGAACCTTGTCGACAGTATGCTAAGTGAAAGAAGCCAACAACAAAGGACCACGTGTTGAATGATTGCATTCTTATGAAGCATCCAGAACAGGCAAATGTATGGAGACAGAGAATCAATTAGTGTTTGCCAGGAGCTGGGAATAGGGGAGAATGGGAAAAGACTCCTAATGGGTATGGGATTTCTTTTTGGGGTGATGAAAATATCCTGGGACTACATGGCAGTGGTGGCTGCATGACCTGTGAATATACTGAAAACCACTCGATTGTACATTTTTGAAAGGTAGAGTTTATGAATAATATTTTAATTAAATATAATTAATTAAAATTAAGCTAATGGGAGGAAGATGTTGATAAATAGTATAGGCCAGGCACAGTGGTTCATGCCTGTAATCTCAGCATTTTGGGAGGCTGAAGTAGGAGGATTGCTGGAGGCCAGGAGTTCAAGATCACCCTGGGCAATATAGCAAGACCCCATCTCTACAAAAGTATTTAAAACTTAGCCAGGCATGGTGGCACACACCCATAGTCCTAGCTCCTCAAGAGGCTGAGTCTAGAGGATTGCTTGAGCCCAGGAGGTCAAGGTTACAGTAAGCCATGATCATGCCATTGCACTCCAGCCTGGATGACAGAGTAAGATCTTTTCTCTAAAAAATAAATAAATAAGTGTTTAGATAACGTGTTCTCCACAGACGTGAAGGATGTTACAATACTGATGGAAAGGCAAAGTTTGAAGGGAGAGGAGAGAAGCACCCAATGCCAGAAATAATGGAGAAGGTCGCTGAAGAGGCTGAGGGGATGGAAGCCAGAGTACCATTGGGGAAACTTTCTCATACCCAATGGCATGAGAAAGGGAGGATGCGAGCTGCAAGCCTGCAGCTGAGTGGGTACATAGAAGATACAAAAGTTAAGAGGTTGCCAAGACACTGTGGAGGCCAGATCTGATATGGGGTCTGAGGGGAAGGGAGGCGTCCATGGTGATCAATGGATGCCTTGGGAGTTTTGACGCCAGGTGCCTGGGAAACACCATTTAGGAAACAGAACCACTTTGGGGACAAAGACAAGGTCTATTTTGAGTATGCTGAATTCGATGCATTGGCAGGACATTCAAGTGATGATGTTCAGCAAGCCGTTAGAAACTTAGAATTCCACGAAGTGGTCAGAGGTGGAGATGTGTTCCAGGAAAGAAAGATACAAAAATAACAGCTGAAATTGTGAGAGTGAGTCATCTCCCTGAAGAAGCCAGTGGAGAAGGGAGAGAAGAAGGCCAAGGAAAGACATTGAAGGATGTCCCCTCCAAAGAGAGGACAACATAGAAGGACCCATGGAGACAAACAAAGTGTGTTCCAGAAGAAGCAGGGTAATAGAAAGAAAAAAGCATCATAAAGCCATAGAATAGGAGAGCTTCGTAGACAAAAGCGGGTAAAATGGTATTAAATGTTACCATACAGAAGGTAATAACTACTAAAAGGCTTTTGGAAATGATGAGGTCTTTGGCAATTCTGATGGAAGAGTTTTTAACGGAGGGCAGGGATGGGATCCAGAGTCCTCTCCAAGATGAAAGTTTAGGAAAGCTGAGTGCCAGAACCACATAATAGGACCACTCACTGCTCTTGACTTCCCATAAGAACAAAGCCAGAAGGACCCTTTTTGGCATATAATGCTCAACTCAGTCTTAGAATATGACATTCAACTACACAGTCATTGCACTCTGTAGTATTCCATCCTGAAAGCCAGAATCAGACCAAAAGGCTCTCAGGTATGCCAAAAAAATAGCATCTAGAATATCATCATTGAAAGGTGCTAGGATACCACATAGCCTACCCTCTGCATTTTTAGATGGGAAAAATTGAAATTATCTACATTTGGCTAAATTAATTTCCAAAAGATCTTCAGCCTTTTGGCGGCAGAGGCAATTCTATAACCAGAAATCTCTGGCTCCTTCATTATCATTGTGTCTCCTGGGAATACATCACTTGCCTCTGTGAAATAACCTCTGACGCCCTTTAAGAGGTGACAGAAAGAAGCGGTGGAGACATACAATGCCTGGAAAAGTCTGACTCTTAGCCTGGCTTGATGGAAATGTGCTCAGCTTACTTTGTGAAGTTCTTCCAGCTATAAAAGCAGAAGACTCGCTCATTTGTCATTGATTTGGTGAATCTAGGAGAACGTTCTTTTTCTGCCCTTGTCACAATGATTTTTGTTGCAATGTGTCAACTGGGATGTCAATGAATGACAGCATTTATCCAACAACACAGTCAGATCATCTTAAGAGAGCTCCACATGGCTGAGGGAGTGAGTCCTGCTCCTCAGTGGAGGTGAGAATTTTGCCTCAATTACCAGCAGAAGGCCTCTTTTCCCCCCGTTTAGTATAGTAATGTGTCTGCACCTAGGTTTTCCCGCCTTTACTTTTTAAATAGCCTTATGCTTTATATATACCGTACAAGTCACTCATTTAATGCGTTCAATTCAGTGGTTTCTAGTATATTCACGGAGTCGTACAACCATCACTGTGGTCAAAATCAGAATATTTTCATCACCTTTAAAAGAAAACCCGTAACTTGTAGCTATCATTTACCTATCTCTATGACTCAGCCCACCCCTAGCCCTAAGCAACAACAAATCTACTTTCTCTATAGATTCCCCTATTCTTGACTTTCATATAAATTGATTTATATAATATCTGGACTCTTGAGACTGGTTTCTTTCACTTAGCATCATGTTTTCAAGGTTCATCCATGTTGTAGCATGTATCAGTACTTCACTCCTTTTATGGCCAAATAATAGTTCACAGGTGGTGTGGATATGTTTTGATATCCATCAGCTCATTGATGGACATTTGGGTTGTTTCCACCTTTTGGCTATTGTGAAGAATGCTGCAATGAACATTCATGCACAAGATTTTGTGTGGAGCTCTTTGGAGTCCTACCATGCTGATGATTAAGTCCTGTGCCTTGTCCTGAGCTTTCTCTGTCCTCCTCCTGGAAAAGATAAGAGCTTCTTAATGCACTTAGCCTTTCATTACTTTCTTCTAATCATCAATCATGCTTAGATCATCAATAGCTCCTCAGTTCTGTTGTCCTTGCAGTAACTATTCCCCACATATTCCTAAAATACCAGATACCTCCACCAGCTAGAACATTCCTTCCCTCTGGCCTACCATTCAGTAGAGCAGCAAGTCATAAAAACTGGGTTACAGGTTACCACTTTGTGCCATGTCTGTCTTTGCTCCACTGACCACCAGCTATGGGGTCCTCATTGCCAGCCAGAGAGGGATTCAGCTCTCAAACCTCATCTAGCCACTTGCTTTCCTTTTCTTCCTCCCTCCCTCCTTCCTTCCTTTCCCTTTTTCCTTCCTTTCTCTTTTTCTTTCTTTATTCCTTCTTCCCCTCCCTTCCTTCCTTCCTTTCTCTCTCTCTTATCTCTCCTTCCTTCCTTTCTTTCTTTTTTTCTTTCTTTCTTTCTCTTTCTTTCTTTCCTTCCCTTCTTTCTTCCCTCCCTCTTCCCCCACCTCCTTCTCTCTTTCTCAGCAAGGTCTCACTCTGTCAGCCAGGCTAGAATGCAGTGGTGCAATCATAGCTCACTGCAGCCTCAAACACCTGGGTTCCAGAGATCCTTCTGCCTTAGCCTCCCGAGTATTTGGGACTTAAGGAGTGCACCACCATGCCCAACTCATTGAAAAAAAATGTAATCGTTACAGGGTCTCACTGTGTTGGCCAGGCTGTTCTTAAACTCCTGGCTTCAAGTGATCTTCCCAACTTCGCCTCCCAAAGTGCTGTGATTACAGGTGTGAGCCACCATACCGAGTCATCTTCTCTTTCTCAAATCACTTCCAGGACCAACCATTGCAGATTGCGTTCTCCAGTAAGCAGACAGCGAGGTGGATAGTAGGCAGGATAAGTATTTATTATGGAGGGCCCTTGGGTCAACAGCTGTGTCAGGAAGGAAACAGAAGCAGGATTGGGCAGAGGGAGAAGTTGAGATTGATGTAGGGTTAGTGACAAACTCAGATGACCCATAAGGAGTTCTGGAACTAACACGGTCCATGTTGTCTGTCCCATGTTGGTCCAAACTGGCCCAGCTTTTATATCCCTGCTGTGATTAGTCACTGGATGTGGCCTTCCTGTCTGCATACACACTTCCAGCAGGTGAGGCCACAAATCCTCCTGCAACAGGGGATCTGGTGCTGCATCTCTACTTCCAACACAAGGCTTTATTGGAAGGAGTCTTCAACACATTTTTGGAAGCAGAAACCCTCTACTTGTATTTAATATCCTCCCCATGGGAAAGGATGATACATCATTTCAGGGCTTCCTTAGAGAGGCTAAGGAATGTTCTGTCCTGTTCTTTGAGAAGGTGTGAGGGTGTGTGCTTTTGCACATTGGGCCATCCCTCTTTGGCCACAGCATTCCTGTTCTTCTTCATAACATTGAGTAGTCAAGTCTTAGTACAGAAACTAGTACAAAACTGCTAAGGTAAGAGCTGGGAGGGTAGAATGATGTTGGAGGCTGAGTACAGGGAGAGGAAGAAAAGAGAAACCCAAGAGAATCTGCAAGCCCTTAACATCAGCGATGTGGAGGAAGCTTAATAAACAGTATTTGATGATGATGATGCAGGAACATCAGCGGCATATAACCCCTTGTCACTTTTTCTTTGTACAAAGAATAATCTCTCTCTCAAACACACACACACACACACACACACACATACACACACCTCCCACATGTATTTTTAGCTTCATATCTCAAAGCACTCAACAAGCTTAAAATTCATGTACCAGCCACCTGCAAAGACCATCTTGTACTCACAGAAATGCAGCCTGTCCTAAAACAACAGCTGTTCAGTGCAGGGCAATGCCACAGAGGAGCTCAGGGCAGGACCTGAAGACAAATGACATGGCTGAAGCAGCAGGTGGACTCTAAGTAGCAGGAATATGGGAGCAGATGGTGGAAAATACAGGGAGCAGCAAAAAAGAGCTTCATAATCTCACCTCTTTACCAAAAGTGCCCCGGACTCTGCCCACTGGATCTAGAAAACAAGAAAAGAAAATATTTTAAAAGAAATACACATCACAGTCATCCTGTAACAACAGTAGTCTACATAGAGCCAGCTGCGTCTAGGTGGATGGGTGGTTGGGACTTAGACAGCAGGCACTTATGAGAAAAACAGTTTACATTGTTAGAGTTAGAATTCAGAGGTTATAATAGAATTTGGCTGCAGGTAGTCCCCAGATACTTGGTGTTTTTGTAGTTGTTTAGAGAATTTACCTTTACTGGATCTCAAGTGAACTATGGTGGTGACAATAAACAGGGAATCATTTACAAAAACAAACCAGGATAACATTTAAACCTTTCATTTCGTTCTCATGGGCTTGGAACCTACAGAGATAAGTATGCAGACAAAAGGGCTCAGATTACAGCCCAAAATAAACACAAAAGCTACATCTATCCATTTCCCTCCCTTCCCTTCTCTTTCCCTTCCTTCCTCCCTTCTTCCTTTTTTCTGGGGATGGGGGACAGGGTATCATTCTGTCATCCAGGTTGGAGTGCAGTGAGATGACCACAGCTCACTATAGCCTCCACCTACTGGGCTCAAGCTGTCCTCCCACCTCAGCCTCCCAAGAAGCTAGGACCACAGGCATGCACCACCACACCCGGCTAATTTTTTTTTTCTCAGCCAGCTGTGCTTTATTGACAACGTGCTCCTCAGGCCTTGACCGCGTACTTCCGCAGCAGGCACAGCCGCTCCTTCCACTGCTGCTTCTTGGTCTTCAGGTGCTCCTCGCGCTTGTTGAGCCGGTGGCGCGTGGCGCGTGTCTTCTTAGGCCGCAGGTCCAGGGGCTTGTACTTCTTGCCCTTGTAGAATTTCCTGAGGTTTTCTTTCTGAGTCTGGTTAATAACTGTGAGAAAATGGGCAATGGATTTGTGGACGACTCGGATCTTAGAGAGCTTGGAGGCCGCACCGCCTGTCACTTTGGCGACGCGCAGCTGGGACAGCTCCACCTTCAGGTCATCCAGCTGTTTCCGCAGCTCCTCCTTCTTCTTCCCGTGAAGATCTCGAGCTTTGATCTTGGCCATTGCTGCACAGGCCGCCGACGCCGACCCCTATTCCCACACCTGGCTAATTTTTTAATGTTTTGTACAGGTGGGATCTCACTGTGTTGCCCAGGCTGGTCTCGAACTCCTGGACTCAAGCGAACTACTCTCACCTCAGCCTCCAAAAGTGCTGGGATTACAGACATGAGCCACTGCACCCAGGCTTCCCTTCTTTCCACAAACATGTTTTTATTATATTTTTTCTTGGGCTTCCACGAAGTTGGATAAATATATCTCTTTTTGGAACAGGAAAGTGCATGCTAAAAATATCAGATGATTTTTCTCATTTTGATTTTTTTTAAATATTGCACTAAAGACATTGGAAAAACAGTAAAGGAAAGAAACTGGTTCAGAGCCACATCACTCCATCAGCTGCCTGTCTTTATTCGTTCTTGTTTCCTTTCAACCCTTGTCTGTGGAATTGAACGCATTGCATGGAAAGAGTCACGTGATAGGTGTAGTTTTTCTCCTCTGCGTTTTTCACTTAATTCTGATCTTCACCTCTTTTCTTGTCGCAGCAGCTCTCCTTTGCCATTCACACTAGAGCATAAACTGGGAGAAAGTAGGAATTTGGGCTGCTTTGTTTACTGTTTCATTCTTCAATACAGCGCTTGGCATATTAGAAGCATTCAATAAATATTTGTTGAATGCATCATCTTCATAATTCTACTTGTTAACAATGGCTTAGATTCCATTAAGTAGACCACAGGGTTACTGCTGTTGAAGGTTTAGTTTGCTTCCAACTCTTCACTTGCATATGTACAACAAAATAATAGCCATCACCGTACATACAGATTTTTTCCTTCATTTTACTTTATTTTATTATTTTATTTTATTTTTTGAGATGGAGTCTCTCCCTGCTGCCCAGGCTGGAGCACAGTGGTGCAATCTCGGCTCACTGCAGCCTCTGCCTCCTGGGTTCAAGTGATTCTCGTGCTTCAGCCTCCCGAGTAGCTGGGATTACAGGCGCCCACCACCACATCAGGCTAGTTTTTGTATTTTTAGTAGAGCTGGTTTCTCCATGTTTGCCAGGCTGGTCTCAAACTCCTGACCTCAAGTGATCCACCAGCCTCGGCCTCCCAAAATGCTGGGATTACAGATGTGAGCCACCATGACTGGCTTCCTTCATTTTAGCTATTTCCTTTATTTTAGTTATTTCCTTAATTGAAATCTCAAGGATGGGGTCCATGGTTGAAGTGGTCTTACACTTTCATGCATCATAATATATGTTTCCAAACTACTTTCCAGAAAGGAAACTACTTTCCAACATAGACTGCTGCTAGCGAAGCCCACCCGAGCGCATTATCAGACAGCTTTCCAGCTGACTGTGAGGGGTGGGGACCAGGCACGGGACCAGATGGCAAGCAATGACAAGAGGATCCGTTTGTAAATCCTGGGAACTCTCGCTGCCTTCCATCTCCTGCTTTCCTCTGGTGTCCTTGTACCCAGATGCTTCCTTCAAGTCATCTCCTCTCTCTTATTTGGTTTAAATTAAGAGTAAGCTAGGAGCTGGAGCTCGTCTCAGTGCCAATTCTGACAGGAAGTTGGACAGCCGAGATGCCTTGTGGAGCTCTTGGATTCCATGTGGGCCGAACGCAACCTTCACACATCTGCAGCCTCCATCTGCTGCTTCATCACAGGACATCATCCTCTGTCCAGGCATTGCTTAGTTTGCACAAGACGTGTCTGTGTAAAAATGCTTCACCACTCACTCCTCCGCAGCTGCCTCTGCTGAGCCACACAGCGCCCATCGCTCTACATCTATTGGGAGCACACAGGGCATCATCCCATGGAGGAAATTCACACAGAACTTACAGGGCAACTACATCTATGAGCTGCCAGTGTTATCCCACATGTGCTCATTGAAAGGAATTGTAGAAAAGATATTGGACGTCCTTGTCGGAAGCCCTTGTTCTATTTCCGGCTCTGAGAAGCTGCAAAACCTTGGATGAATCACTCACTGCCTGCAGTCCTCAGTCTCCCTCTCTACCAAAGAAGGAGAAGAACAGCTGTTCTTGCATCTCACATGGTGGTGGTGAGAATCGAATGAAACACTGTGCATGAACGCTCTGCAAACTGTGAAGTGCTGTGAGATATAGAGCACTGGTATTATCATTTGAATGCCAATTCTGAAGTACCCAGAGAGCAAATGGGTGACAGAGGCCATGGTTTGCTTTCCCCACAGCCATTCTACACCTCTTTCAAGGCCAGTTGTGTTCATGTCGCATCTGGCTTTATGTCCGGCGCCCAGGAATGAATCACGGTTGAGCTAAATGAATCACGGAAATCTCATTCCTTCTTTGCTCCTTTGAGGCAGGCATGTGATTCAACAGAGATCCAGAACACTTGGGGAAAGATACTCCTCCGTGATAGAAGGAGAGAGCTCTCCCCGCCTCCTAGCTTGGACGTTGTCTTGTGAGGACTTGGTGCTATGTGCTGCAGCTGCACAGAGCTGGCACCAGAAAAAGGAAAGCCAAGAGCAGCCGATCGCGGGCCCTGACGCCGTGGAAACAGTACATGAACCACCTCTGGGACTGCCAATCTCCAGACTTCTGATGTGCGATTTGTGAGTAAAATTTTGTGGCTTACATCAGACATTCTCCTACCTAAAGGCACAAAGGGGAGAAACAATGGGTGATGGAAACGATCAAGTCTTACCAGTGGATGAAATTGAACAAGTTTTTCCAGCAGGCTCAATTCCTTGCCCTCTTGTCTCCGTCGGCTTTGCTTTATTGTGGTTCACTTCTTTTTTTTTTTTTTTTTTTTTTTTTTTTTTTTTTGAGACGGAGTCTCGCTCTCGCCCAGGCTGGAGTGCAGTGGCGTGATCTCTGCTCACTGCAGGCTCCGCCTCCTGGGTTCACGCCATTCTCCTGCCTCAGCCTCCCCAGCAGCTGGGACTACAGGCGCCCGCCACCTCGCCCGGCTAATTTTTTGTATTTTTAGTAGAGACGGGGTTTCACCGTGTTAGCCAGGATGGTATCGATCTCCTGACCTCGTGATCCGCCTGCCTCAGCCTCCCAAAGTGCTGGGATTACAGGCGTGAGCCACCGCTCCCAGCCTGTGGTTCACTTCTTAGATTGCAGCAAGCGGCTGGGCGTGGTGGCTCATGCCTATAATCCCAGCACTTTGGGAAGCTGAGGTGGGAGGATCACTTGAGCCCAGGAGTTTGAGACCAACCTGGCAACATAGTGAGACTGTATCTCGACAAAAAATTTAAAAATTAGCTGAGTGTGGGGGCACATACCTGTAGTCCCAGCTACTAGGGAGGCTGAGGTGGGAGGATCACTTGATCCCAGGAGGTTGAGGCTGCAGTGAGCTGTGATTGTGTCACTGCACTCAAGCCTGGGTAACTCTGTCTCAAAAATTAACTAATTAATTAATTAATTGCAGCAGTTAGTAAACTTCTGAGGCAAAACAAAAATGGTAAATGAATTTAAAAGTAAGTGGCTACAAGGAAATGAATTAAAATATGAGGAATGTGTGATTACGTGAACAGCGGGCACTGAGGACAGGCAATGGGCCAGGAGAGCTACCCCCACCAGCATCAGGAAGCTGAGACAGAGAAGGGAGCGGGCACAGGACTGCAGAGGTGGGTAAAGGGGAGTCCACGACTTCCAAGGGAAAAACTCCAAGGAAAAGCCTCCACTTGGAATGTGTCACCCAGCTCTCTGTCTGGACAAATGCAACTCCTTAGTCCCATGATCAGCCAAACATTTTGTCTTTCTTTCCATAAAAGTTATTGCTATGGCCTGAATGTGTCCCCCAAAATTCCTATGTTGAAACGTAATCACCAGTGTGATAGTAGTATTAAGAGGTGGGGCCTTTAGGAGGTGATTAAGTCATCCCCGTGACTAGTGGGATTAGTGCCCTTGTCAAAGAGGTTGAAGGAAGCACCACAGTCCCCGTCACCCCTTTTGCCATCTGAAGATGCAGCAAGAGACACCATCTTGGAAGTGGAGAAGAAGCCCTCACCAGACACCAAACCCGCTGGCACCTTGATCTTGGACTTCACAGCCTCCAGAATTGTGAAAAAATAAATTTATATTGTGACATTTGTATAAATGACCCAGTCTGTGGTCTTTTGTCATAGCAGCAGGAATATACCAAGATAGTTATCAACTGAGCTTTTTGTTTTGTTTAATTTTGGGCCTTAAATGCGAGGCACTGTACCAGGCATAGTCCTCGGTTCGTGACACATAATCACGATCAGTCCTTACGTAGCCCGTCTTTTACTTTCATTATTTATTTTTATTGCATAACAAACGCTGCTAAGCCAGCCTCACTCAAGAATTAAAAATTTACCACGGATATACGTCTCCCTACGTGCTCACCACTATCCCATGTCCCTGCTTGCCTTTTTTTTTTTTTTTTTTTTTTTTTTGAGATGGAGTCTCGCTCTGTTGCCCAGGCTGGAGGGCAATGGTGCGACCTCGGCTCACCGCAACCTCCGCCTCCCGGGTTCAAATGATTCTTCTGCCTCAGCCCCCCGAGTAGCTGGGATTACAGGCACCCACCACCACGCCAGCTAATTTTTGTATTTTTAGTAGAGATGGGGTTTCACCATGTTGGCCAGGCTGGTCTCGAACTCCCGACCTGATGACCTGCCGGCCTCAGCCTCCCGAAGTGTTGGGATTACAGGCATGAGCCATCACAGCTGGCCTATCCCTGCTTGCCTCTTGAAGGGAGTTAATACTTTGAATTTTGTGTTTATCATTCTGATCCTTTTTTGGTTTTGGTTTTGGTTTATCCTGTACATACGTATGTCTAACCAATATATTGCTTAATTTTGCTTGTTACTTAACATTTCATGGCTAAAATTCATCCAAGTTATTGAACGTGGCTGGAGTTACTTTCCCGTTGTGTAGATATACCATAATTTATTTGTCTATTCTCTTGTCAAAGGACATTTTTTTTCCATTCTTCCCTGTATAGAACAAGAATTCTGTGAACATTCTTGTATATTATCTTGGTGCACATGTGCTAAAGAGTCTCTTGGATATTTACCTAGAAGTAGAATATCAAATAGGCAAATATTCAATTAGACAGAATACTACCAAATTATTTTCCAAAGCGATTGTGCTACTTTAGTTTCTCATTGGTAATATGTAGGAGATCCCACTGATCATTTGATCTCTAATACTTGGTATTGGCAGACTTCATTTAATAATCGCATGGGTATAAAATGGTCTTCAATTGTGCAGATGCTGTACAGTCTCCTGTGGTTTAATGTCTTTTTGTATATTTATTGGCCATATGTGGTTCCTCTTCTGTGAAATGCATTTATCTGGTTTTTGCTCATTTTTCTATATTGAGTTGTCTTTTTTCTAGTGATATGTAGAAACTCTTTATTATTCTTGAGTGATCTTTGTTGGTTATTTGTGTTGCAAATATCCTTTCTCTCATCTCTCCGAAGGACATACAATTATTCTCAGAAACAATTTATTCTGAATACATATTGAAGAAAACTTGAGATGAAGATGAGAAGGGATGAAGAGCTCCAAAGCCCACCCTCAACATTCCTGACAAAACCTGGGACTTTGGGAAACGGACCATGGCAAGTGATTTTGTACCGAGATTGCTGATGGGAAGAGAAGTGGGGAATACTAAACAGAAACCAATCTTCATGGAAACAGGGACAGGAGAGGGTGTTGACAACGGGAGGGTAAAAACCAGACTGCTCTCATGAAAGCAAAGAGGGTTGACTGTGAGTTAAAGCGGCAGGCTACCTTGTGTTCGTTTATTTTCTTTTTATTTTTATGTTCATTTTTAAAGACTTTTAATCTGAACACTTCCAGGTTTACAGCAAAATTGAGAAGATGGTACAGAGCATTCCTGTATACCCCACCCGCAGTTTCCCCTATTATCAACATCTTACACTAGTAGGGTACATTTGTTAGAATTAATGAACCAATATTGATGCATCAGTATTAGCTAAAGTCCACAGTTTAGTCAGATATCCTTACTGTATACCTTTTTCTGTTTCAATATCCCATCCAGGAGTCCACATTACATTTAGCTGTCATGTCTCCTTAGGCTCGTCTTAGTTGTGACAGTTTCTCAGACTTCCCTTGTTTTTGATGGCCTTGCAAGATTTGTGTGTGTGTCTGTGTGTGTGTGTGTGTTTTATTATTTTTTTCTTTTTTTGAGACGGAGCCTCGCTCTGTCGCCCAGGCTGTAGTGCAGTGGCATGATCTCTGCTCACTGCAACCTCCGCCTCCTGGGTTCAAACGATTCTCCTGCCTCAGCCTTCCTAGTAGCTGGGACTACAAGCGTGCACCACCATGCCCGGCTAATTTCTGTATTTTTAGTAGAGATGAAGTTTCACCATATTGGCCAGGCTGGTCTTGAACTCCTGACCTCGTGATCCACCTGACTCGGCCTCCCAAAGTGCTGGGAATACAGGCGTGAGCCACGGTGCTTGGCCTTTTTTTTTTTTTTTTTTTAATTGAGACGGGGTCCTGCTCTGTCACCCAGGCTGGAGTGCAATGTGCAATCATAGCTCACTGCAGCCTCAACCTCCCAGGCTCAATCGAACCTCCCACCTCAGCCTCCTAAGCAGCTGGGACCACAGGCGTGCACTACCACACTCAGCTAATTTTCTAATTATTTGTAGAGACAGTGTCTCACTATGTTGCCCAAGCTGGTCTTGAACTTCTGGGCTCAAGTGTTCCTCCCACCTTGGCCTCCCAAAGTGCTGGGATTACAGGTGAGAGTCACTGTGCCCAGCCAATCTTGACAGCTTTGAGGAGTACTGGTCAGGTGTTTTGTAGGATGCCTTGTATTGTAATTTGCCTGCTGTTTTTAATCATGATTAGACTGGAGTGATGGGTTTTTGAAGGGAAGAGCACAGAGACAAAGTGCCATTGTCATCACATGGTATCCAGGTGTATCTGTTTCCTAGGCCTGCAGGAAAAAAGTACCACAAACTGGAATGGCTTGAAACAAGAAATTTATTCTCTCACAGTTCTGGAGGCCAGAAGTCCAAAATCAAGGTGTCAGTAGGGCTATGCTCTCTGAACCCTCTAGGGGAAGATCCTTCCTTGCCCTTTACAGCTTCTGGTAGCCCCAGGCGTGCCTTGGCGTCTAGTCCCATAACTCCACACTCTGCCGCCACCCTCAGGTGGCTGGCCTTCTTCCCTCTCTGTGCATGACTTTCTTCTTTTTTTTTTTTTTCTGAGACAGAGTCTTGCTCTGTTGCCCAGGCTGGAGTGCAGTGGCACAATCTCAGCTCACTGCAACCTCCGCCTCCCAGGTCCAAGCAATTCTCCTGCCTCAGCCTCCCGAGTTTCTGGGATTACTGGCGGATGCCATCACACCTGGCTAATATTTGTATTTTCAGTAGAGACGGGGTTTCACCATGTTGGCCAGGCTGGTCTCAAACTCCTGACCTCAGGTGATCCCCCCACCTTGGCCTCCCAAAGTGCTGGTATTACAGGCATGAGCCACTGCACCCACCCATCTTTATCTCTTCTTTTATGAGGTGTCTGTTCAGATGTTTTGCTGATTTTTTTAGTTAAGTTGTTTTCTTAAAATTCAGTTTTAAGCGTTGTTTGGTACATTTTGGATACCAGTCATTTATCAGATATGTGTTTGGCAAATACAATCTCTCAGTCTGTAGCTTGCCTTTCCATCCTCTTAATAGCATCTTTTTCAGAGAGGAAGTTTTTAATTTTAACTAAGTCCAACTTACCAATTTTTTTCTTTCACGGATCACATTTTTGGTGTACCTCAAAAGTCACTGCCAAACCCAGAGTCACTAGATTTTCTCTTATGTTTTCTTCTTCTCAAACTTTTTTTGTTTTACATTTTGCATATAGGTCTACATATGATATTCTCAGCTGATTTGTGCAAAAGTTGTAAGGTCTGCGTTTAGTTTTGTTTTTGCTTTTGTTTTGCCTGTGGATGTGCAGTTGTTCCAGCACCATCTGTTGAAAAGACTGTCCCTTCTGCATTGAACTACCTCTGCTCGTTTGTTAAAGATTAGTGGACTGTTTGTGTGGGTCTATTTCTGAGCTCTCTTTTCTGTTCCATTGATCTACTTGTCTATTCTTTCACCATAGCACACTGCCCCAATTACTGTAGTTTTGTAATAAGCCTTGAAGTCAGATAGTGTCAGCCCTCTAACTTTGTCTTCTTTTTTAGGATTGTGTTGTTATTATTGGTGTTCTGCCTTCTGTATACATTTTATGATCAGTTTGGTGTTATCCACAAAACAACTTGTAGAATTTTGATTAGGATTGCAAGGAATCTATAGATGAAGCTGGGAAGGACTGACATCTTCACAATATTGAGTCTTCCAATCTATGAACACAGAATATCTCTCCAGTTAGTTTTTTTGTTTGTTTGTTTGTTTGTTTGTTTGTTTGTTTGAGACGGAGTCTCGTTCTGTGGCTCAGGCTGGAGTGCAGCAGCATGATCTCGGCTCACTACAACCTCTGCCTCCCGGGTTGGAGTGATTCTCCTGCCTCAGCCTCTTGAGTAGCTGGGATTATAGGCACACACCACCATGCCCAGCTAATTTTTCTATTTTTAGTAGAGACAGGGTTTCATCATGTTGGCCAGGCTGGTCTCGAACTCCTGACCTTATGATCCGCCCACCTCGGCCTCCCAAAGCGCTGGGATTACAGGTGTGAGCCACCGCGCCCAGCCCAGTTAGTTTTTTATGTGTTATTTTATATTTTTGTCTTGGACTAAAGGAACAAAGAATGAGGTGGAAAGAAGTAGCCACTTCTCAGGAGGTGACTCACTGAGAAAGTGACAGAAGGAAAGGAAAATCCCCCTTTTCAAATACAGTTGAGGAAAATATGCTCACAATTGGAAAGAGTTAGGCCTTAGGGCACAAATTCAAGAAATAAACAAAGAACCAGTAGCTCTTCTGATATTTAGACGAAACATTTATTCTATAAACAGGATTACTTAAGCCTTAAAATCAAAGTGCACAAAGAGATGAAAAATTGAGTGCACATAGAGGTATGTGAAGTGCATAAAGAACTAGGAGTGTAAATCTAAGGTCTCATTTTAAAAAGAGATTAAATAGAAATTTCATTTACTTATCATTAGGTAGGCTAGCAATCCATGACTGCATTCAGCTAAATCTAATTTATCTCAGCAAACTAGGGCGTGGCTGCCACTGACAAAATGAGGAAATTGAAGCAGTTCTTGTTATATTTGGGTCAAAATATAGTTTGATCTCAATTTTCTAGGTCATTCAGGTAGAAGTTATGCCTGGGACGGAATGACTCAGTAACTACCTCATTTCCCTGTTTTCTCTGGTAGAAGATAGTAACATTCTGGTATTTCTCTGAAGAAAACCAAAACATAACTTGGATCAATTTTAGCGTTAGTAATGAGTATATGTTAATTACACTATTCATTTAGTCAATCAACAAGATTGTATTGGGTGCCATGTGCCAAGCACTGTTCTAGGCACAGAAGAGAGAAGTGTTCTGAAGAAAATAAGAGCAAAGTAAAAAGACAGAGATTGGAGGTCCTGTTTGGTATGGGGTGGTAAGGGACAACTTCCTCTATAAGATGACATAGGAGCACATATAACCCTAAAGGATAAAAGAGGCAGAGCCATGTGGGTAGCTGGAGGAAAATGTTTCTAGGCAGAAAAAGGCAGTGCAAAGACAGGAGCATCCTTGGGGCTTCTGAGGAAGAACAAGGAGGCCAGAGTGCTGGGGGCAGGAGACAATGAGGAGGAGATCAAGTTCAAGTGGACACGGGAGCTGGCCAGAGTATGCAGGGCCTGGTTGATCTTGGTGAAGACCATTGGAGAGCTTTGAGCATGAGAGTGAAATAAGCTGATTTCCAAGGGTAATGAAATCAGAAGGCGAGGGGAGAAGCAGACAGACCAGTTAGGAGACTGTTGTGCGGGGTAAGTTCTTTCTGACTTTGGCAAATATACATTCATACGAAGGGCCTCATTTTAAAAAAATGATATCTGAGATAGGAAGATTGCTTGAGGCCAGGAGTTCAAGACGAGTCCGAGCAACATAGCAAGGCCCCATCTCTGTAAAAAGAAAAAATTTTAAGCCATGCCTAAATTACTAGCAGTAGAAAGGTAAGAAGAGATTGGATTAATAATATTTTTTAATGTAGAGACAACAGGATTTGCAAATGGATTGGAAGTGAGGGGTGAGAGAAGATTCAGTCGGAACTCACGGAGTCACGCATGACTCTGTGCAACTTGAGCAGTCAACATCTAAACCCAGGAAGTGGGTTTACCCAAATCACTCCACCTTTATAGCACCTGAGAGGGAATGGGAACCACCCCAGAGAAGACAGCAGCTTAATTGTCTTCTTTGCTATTATAGGCTAGGCATGGTGGCTCATGCCTGTAATCCCAGCACTTTAGGAGGTCAAGGCAAGTGATACACCTGAGGTCATGAGTTTGAGAGCAGCCTGGCCAACATGGTGAAACCCTGTCTCCACTAAAAATACAAAAATTAACCGGGCGTAGTGACAGGCGCCTGTAATACCAGCTACTCAGGAGGCTAAGGCAGGAGAGTCACTTGAGCCCGGGAGGCGGAGGATGCAGTGAGACAAGATCACGCCACCGCACTTTGGCCTGGGCAACAGTGAGACTCCGTATCAAAAAAAAAAAATTATTTTAGAAATGTTTAGAAATATATATGTCTATTTTAGAAAATGTGGAAAATAGAGAAAGAAGAAAAATAAAAATAACCACCTTTCCACCTCTGAGCAAGGGTAAACCACTACTGATAGTCAATGTAAGTTCTTTTTTTTTTTTTTTTTTTTTTGAGATGGAGTCTCACTCTGTTGCCCAGTTTGGAGTGCAGTGGTGTAATCTTGGCTCACTGCAACCCTGCCTCCCGGGTTCAATTAATTGTCTTGCCTCAGCCTCCCAAGTAGCTGGGATTACAGGCATGTGCCACCAAATCTGGCTAATTTTTATATTTTTAGTAGAGACAGGGTTTCACCATGCTGGCCAGGCTGCTCTCGATCTCCTGACCTCAGGTGATCCACTCACCTCGGCCTCCCAAAGTGCTGGGATTACAGGCATGAGCCACTGCGCCTGGCCTCTATAAAATATTTTTTAAAAATTAGCTGGGCATGGTGGCAGAGGCAGGAGGATCACCTGAGCCCAGGAGTATGAGGCTGCAGTGGGCTATGATCACACTACTGCACTCCAGCCTGGGCAACGGAGCAAGACCAAAACCAAAACCAAACAAAATAAAATATAAAACTCACATAAGTTTGCTATGGTTTCATCCCCAATGCAGCAATATTGAGAGGGAGGGCCTTTAAAAGGTGATTGAGTCATGAGGGCTCTGCCCTCATTAGATGGATTGATCTATGCATGAATTAATGGGTTAATGGGTTAATGGTTATCATGGGAGTGAGACTAGTGGCTTTAGTAAGAAGAGGAAGAGAGACCTGAGTTAGCACACTAGCACACTCAGTCCCCTCACCATGTGACACCCTGCACCACCTAGGGATGCTGCAGAGAGTCCCCACCAGCAAGAAGGCTCTCACATATGTGGCCACTCGACTTTGGACTTCTCAGCCTCCATAACTGTAAGGAATAAATTTCTTGGAGGATGGGAAGTCCAAGGTCAAGACGCCACAAATGGTAGGGGCCTTCTTGCTGATGGGGACTCTCTACAGGGTCCCAAAGTGGCACAGGGTGTCATATAGTTAGGGGGCTGAGTGTACTAGCTCAGACCTAGCTCAGGCCTCTCTTCCTGTTCTTATAAAACCACAGATTCCCTCCTGTGATAACGCACTAATCCATTAACCCATCAATCCATGAATGGATTAATCCACTCATGAGGGCAGGTCCCTCAGAACCCAGTCACGTGCTAATGGCGCCAACTCTCAATACTGCCACATTGGGGATTAAATTTCAAACATGAGTTTTGAAGCCCACAACATGTAAACCATAGCACTGAGTAATTACTGGCAATGCTGGCTTGTGTTCCAGCACCTTCAAGGATCAATAAGCCAACACGTTACTGCTGTATGTGTTAGACTTTCTGCAGCCCAGTCTTTCTCTATCATCCTCTTAGCTTACATCCTTCTTGGCTGACCCCAGTAACCCACACAAGCCCTCTAGGTTGTGCCTCCATGGCCAGACAAGAGTCTCTCTGTTTGGGAATCTAGTCCTTTGGGAGGATTAAAGTGGATGGAGAATGGAGCATCGGCTTGCATGAAGACATCCAGGCCCCACAGAAAGATCTTCTTTGGGAATCAAGAGGCCGAGAGGGAATGGAGTTTTCTTAAATAACAGAGATCTAGAGCAATAGGATACTAAATGCCAAGATTGGAATCCTCCTTAAAAGACCTCTGTGGCCTAGCTTTGAAAAGGACCATATGCTTTGGGAAAAGGCTGCATCTCAGCAGTGCAAAAGCAGACTAAAACCAGAAGGTCCTTGTGGGAGCCCAAAATATGGGTTCCAGAGAGACATCCACGTCAGCCCCCTGGAACTTTTGCATGTTACCTTATTGGAAAAAAGGGTCTTTGCCGATGTGGTTGAGGACCTTGAGATGAGGGATAAATGTAGATTCTCTTGGTGAGCCCTAAATTCCATCGCAAGTATCCTCATAAGAGAAAAGAAGAGAAGACAGACAGAAAAAAAGTAGACACAGAGAAGGTGAATATGAAGAAAGAGACCGGAAGGATACAAGCCAAGGAATGTCAAGGAATGCCAACAACCATCAGAAGCTAGAAGATGCAAGGAAGAAGTCTGCCCTAGAGGCTTCGGAGAGAGTGGAGTCCTGCTGACACCTTGATGTATGACTTCTGGCCACAAGGACAGTGAGAGAATACATATTTGCTGTCTTAAGCCACCAAGCTGGTATTAATTTGCTATAGCAGCCACAGGACACTAATACAGTCCCCCTTCAAATTTTCTGAAATGTGTATGTCTTAACCCCCAAGAACTCTTAAGTGATTTTATGAGATGGTAGCCCTTCCTCCCCTCACCTCGACTCCGACACCTCCATCCCCCAGAACATGATTGAGATTAAATTACTCAAAATTATGCTAAGTGAGATTTAGAGCTAAATCTCAATCTAATTTTTAATAATAAAGCTAGGTACATTTTCTTGCACCTAATGATTGTGGAATCTATCCTGCCCTGTACTACAAATTGGTGGTCCCGGCCAGGCTTCTCCTCCCCTCTTGTCATTGTCCCTGACTCCATGGCTGCCAGGAATCCCAGAGGGAAGGACTTTAGAAGCATTGGGGCATGCTTCCTTTGCCCTTCCCAGGAACTTAAGGCAGTGTACCCCATCCTCAGAGGACCCCCCACATAGTAAGGCTTTCAACATAGGCACAGTGGCTCACACCTGTAATCCCAGCACTTTGGGAGGCCGAAGCAGGTGGATCACTTGAGGTCAAGAGTTCGAGACCAGCCTGGCCAACTGGTGAAACCCCATCTCTACTAAAAATACAATAATTAGCCAAGTGTCTTGGTGCATGCCTGTAATCCCAGCTACTTGAGAGGTTGAGGCAGGAGAATCGCTTGAACCTGGGAGGTGGAGGTTGCAGTGAGCTGAGATTTGCACTCCAGCCTAGGCAACAGAGGGAGACTGTCAAAAAAAAAAAAAAAAAAAAAAAAAAGCAGCTCTATCCCACCTTGGTTCCACATTCTCACATTCTCAAAGCATGTAATCTCACTAGCACTTTCCCCACTTTCCACTCCAATCCAATACGGTCTAGAGAGAGCACTGGGAGTTTCAGTGCTTGAACCATGATGCAACCCCTGAGTAAAACCTTCCTAATTTACTCATTGGTCACCATCCCGCCTGCTCCCTCCGCAAGGATCTTTTCAGCATTGATGCATTCCACACAGAATTAACAACTAGATTAGTTTTTGTAGTTTCCTCCTCTCTTGTTATTTATTGTCCAATGAACACCAAGCTCCCTCATCTTTTGTAGTCTGCTTTTGATGTCCCTAGTGTTGGGGACCCCATTGAGTTCAGCACCCTCCATCCCTAGTCTGCTGCGGACCCTCTTGCCTGGGTATTCTCCATGTAATGCCAAGTCAGCCTCACCCTGAGGCCAGCCTCAGCAGCAGCCTCATTACACTCAGCTGAAACTTCATTTCTCATTTTAATTCCTTTGAACCAAGCGGCTTCCCTCTCCCTCCTCGTATCTAACTGGCTTTTTCCTGATGGAAAAAAATCATGACTAAATTCCAAGCCCTTCTCACTCTCTGGAGTTCTTTAGCCAATCCTACTAGGAGATCAGAAAACTTAATAATTTTCTACTCACTGACGGAGCTTTAACTCTTCCTGAGCAAGTGATATTGAAAAAATGACAATTTGAATGAATATGCCTTTCCTCCTATAAGCACAAAGCTCTTAA
Source organism: Homo sapiens (assembly GCF_000001405.40). Classification (NCBI taxonomy): domain Eukaryota; kingdom Metazoa; phylum Chordata; class Mammalia; order Primates; family Hominidae; genus Homo; species Homo sapiens. The sequence continues at coordinate 236,966,983 of NC_000001.11, read as the reverse complement.
AACTGATGTGGGAAAAATTAATATGGGATGAGAGAAGGGCGTGCCTGATACAGATCAAAGTACCTCGACTTTCCTCTCTCCTAACCAGGAAGGTCAAATACGGAGGGCTCTATAAAGAAGGCAGAGAACAAAGACAGCCCTTTTTCTTGATGTGTAACAAACACCATTTACATAAGATAACTGTGCACAGTACAGTTTGCTAGGAATTCAAGAGTTAGGACAGAAGTTCACCCTGTAACGCAGTTTGGCAGATCATCTGGGTTAGAATATTAGACTCACCGGCTCTGCAGAGCTCTCGGCTCCTCCCACCATTGATGATCTTTTTGATTTGGCCTCCAGCATTCTGCCATTTTTCTGAGCCCCTTCTTTCTCGCTAGACTTCCTTCTCTCTCCTTCCTAAATACCCCCATGAGCTCTCAGAGACATGTCTCTGCAACTCCCTTTTGACCTATCCAGCCATATTCTGAGGGCTAACATTCCAAAAGGCCAAATGGTTTCTTACATGTTTGCTGAATAATATTTCCTCCCCTAAAAGGAATTCTGCCCCCAGATCTTGAATGGTGCAACCATGGCTCACTGCAGCCTCGACCTCCCAAGCTCAAGCTATTCTCCCATCTCAGCCTCCCACGTAGCTAGGACTACAAGGTGTGCCACCATGCCTGGCTAATTTTTAAATTTCCTGTAGAGACGGGGACTCGCTATGATGTCAGGGCTGGTTTTGAACTCCCGGGCTCAAGTGATTTGCCCACTGTGGCCTCCCAAAGTGTTGGGATTACAGGTGTGGGGCCGCCACACCCAGCACCATCCTTTCTCACGCTTTTATATTTGTAGAATACAGAATCTCCTTCTCCCGGGTGATCTAAGCTGTGAGATGTAAAGGTGATAGTAGAAAATGGAATTTCTTGTGTTTTCACTGTGAACTCTCCTCACTAATGTTTCCCAGATGAGCCCTGTTTTGTAAGGAAGAGGAGACAGCTAGACTGACACCTGACCTGCGGGGCCCTCCCACCCTCTCATCCACCTGGCAGAGGGGCAGAGGGCAGAGAGAATCCCATTGAGCATGAGAATCCTGGGAAGGAAGAAAGGAAGGGGGAGTGGGAGGGAGGGAGGGAGGAAGGAAGGAAGGAAGAAAGGAAGAAAGGAAGGGAGGGAAGGAGGAAAAGAAGAAAAAAGGAGGAAGAGAGGGAGGGAGGGAGGGAGGGAGGGAGGATGTGTCAGTGGTCTTCTGGGCTGTACCCAGGGTCTAGGATGGAATCTGCAGAACCAATGCTCCCTGAATACCTGCTGGCTGGTGAATGAAAGGATGGAAGATCATGAAACACTGAAGCATTAGGAACAGCCATGATAATTGTTCAAAAAGTTACGTTGGCAAGTGATCACCACTTCCTCACTCCACTCTTGCCTTAAGACAAAATAATAATTATTCTTAATAGGAATGATCAATAGTTCATTAGTTTTACCAACGCATTTCACTGATATGGTTGTTTACCAGTCGTTGATATGCTCCACTCCTAACTCCAGGCTTACTTTGCTTCTTGTGAAAATAGATTCATTAGCAATTCTTCCAGAAAAGTGCTGTGAGTGATAAACTCTAAGCCTGTGTATGTCTGAAAATGTCTTCGTTAGATTCCCCATTCTTGAAAGAGGGTTTAATTGTATATAGATTTCCCAATCACAGCTATTTGACCTAATATTTTGATGAGTTATTTTATCCCAGCACTGATTTCTGGTACTCTTTGTTGCTCATGGAAGTCGACGGGCAGCCTGACATTCTTTTTACAATAACCTGTCTTTTCTCCCTGGTAGCTTCTTAGATTTTTCTCTCTATCCCTGACACTCTGCGGTTCTGCTATAATGTTTCTCCATGTGTAGAGATGGGTTCATTTGTATTTATCTTGCTAGATGCCTGGTGTGCATTTTCAGGTTGAGGGTTTAAAGGTTCACATCTTTCACAGTTCAGTGAAATTCTTCTAACTATTGATTCTCTGCTATTCTCTACTTCTGTAACCCCTATTAAGCATATAGTGGAGCCTATCAACCTGTCTTCTCAATGTTATTGTCTATGAGCTGTGTTCTGGGTCATTTTCTTGGTAGTATAATCTAATTCATAAATTCTGTCTTCAATTGTAGGCAGTTTCACCATGGATTTACCCAGTCTATGTTTTTATTATTATTTCAATAACCCTATTTGTCCTATCTGTAGTGTATCATTGGGATTTGGGACACGGGATTCAGGATTTGGGATCTGGGAGTTAGGACAGGAGTTCTTCATTATTATTATTTTTTAAATCTCTGTGATTCATTCATTCAACAATATTTATTATGTATCTACAAAATGCCAAACACTATTCTGTGTTCTGGGGTCTCAGCAGTAATAAAATACACACGCATATGTTCTCCTGACATAAAATGAGTAATTCAGTAAAATATTTAACTAAAACATAGAGTGCATCAGTTAATGGTAAGTGCTGTGGAAAAGAATACCCCAGAGGAGGAGAACAGAGAGTGAGGATTTGTCTTGCTGATGAGGAGAAAGGAAGTCTGTGTGACTCTGGCTTTTTCATGGGGATCAAGATCACTGGGGATAAAAGGCATAGCGAGCTTCAGAGCTGGCAATGGGAAGATGAGAACTGTGGAGAGGGCAGGAGGAGAGGGGAGTGGGGATCTTACCAGGGGCGTACAGGACTCTGGGCTTCCCTCTTCACTTCTGCTGATGGAGAGGCAGAGACCAATGGAAGCAAGAAATCAGGGTCAAGTGGGCCAGGGGTCACTGTGCTCTCAGGCAGAGGAATCAGAGCTCCCATGCCTTTTTTTTCCTTTTTTTCTTTATAGATGGGGTCTTACTATGTTGCCCAGGGTGGACTCCAACTCCTGTGCTCAAGTGACCCTCCCACCTCAGCCTCCTGAGTAGCTGGGACCGCAGGTGTCTGCCACCACACCCAACTTCCCATGCCTTTTTGACTCTTGTTTTTTGGCTCATGATTTCTTATGCTTGCTTTATAGGTGTTATTACCACCTTTATCTCTGAGGAATCAAATATACTTCATTTAAGTTCAATTCAGGCTTTGCTCTATTATTTGAAGTGCTTCAAGAATTAATTTTCCTACTTGTTCAGTTTGTTGGCTACTTTTCATTATATTTGTTTGTTGTGCTTTAGAATTTTAATATACAGACTCATCTTCAGTAGGAGAGAGAGAGAGGGCAAGAGAGAGAGAGAGAGAGAGAGAGAGAGTGTTTCTCCACCTGTTCTCACGTCTGCTTATTCTTAACTGCATTCACCCAAAGCAGCAGGCTCTCTGGTTCAAAACAAGGCTTATATGTAGGCTCTCTTGTTTTTGGCAGTATTGCAGACCCAGTGTAACAGGGGGCTTGAGCCAGCAGTTCACTCTATGTTGTCTCAGGTCCCTGTGCTACCTCCAAGACACAGCTTGATGCAGGACAGGTCACTCCAGAGACATCACAGCTTCCAGTTATTTGAAGAATTGAACTCCAGGCTACTTCTGCTAAATGACAGATTCAGAGCCTGGATCCTAGAGTCCACAGGCTTAGTTCCACCTACCTCTGTGTGTTTGAGATCACAAAGGCATTTTTTATGTATCATATTTGGGTCATCATTTATATATTTGTAATATTGCTGCTGTGGTTTGGATATGATTTATTTGTCCCCACCAAAACTCATGTTGAAATTCGCTCCCCTGATGTGGTGGTATTGGAGGGTGGAGCCTAGTGAGGGGTATTTGGGTCATGGGGGCAGATCCCTCATGAATGACTTGGTGCCATTCTCATGCTAGCAAGTTCTTGCTCTGGCGAGACTGGATTGGTTCCAGCAGAAATTGATTAGTTCCTGCAAGAGTGGGTTGTTGTAAAGCCACGATGCCCCTCAGGTTGTGTTTCTTTGCATGTGTTCTTTGCATGCTTCCCCTTTGACTTTCTCCACCATGTTCTGATGCAAACTGAAAGTTTCACCAGAAGCCAGGCCATGCCCTTGAATTTCCCAGTCTGCAGAAACATGAGCCAAATAAACCTCTTCTCTTTACAAAATTACCCAGTCTCAGGTATTCTGTTACAGCAACACAAAACAGATGAAGACAATTGCTTTAATGCTCTGTGTCCTAGTTAACTTTATTAGCAAAGAAACATGAAAAAATATTTGTCTGAAGCATAATGGAAGTACAAGTCTCACTAGAATGATAATTGCCTGCAAGCAGCCATTCAAGGAAGACCTAGCTCTTTCCATCTTGTTGCTCTGCCATTTCCAACCTCCCTGGTAGCTGACTTCTTCTACTCAAGTCCATTGGAAATAATTAACCACACAACTCCACTGAGAGCAACAAGTTTATGCTGTGGAAGACGTGGTGAGCCCTGTCTGCCACTTCTATCTATCCTGATGTGAGCTGGAGCAGATGAGAGAGTTTAACACACAAAATCGCAGCATCTTGACCAGAAAGAGCTGCATTCACCCTTCGCCACCTGGTTTCCACTACTGCTCCATTGAAATGACTAGTTACCCAGATCACCAAAAGTCTCTATCATGCCAGAGCCAAGGGACATTTTTCTGCCCCTGTCTTGCTTAGCTTCACAGTAGCTCTAAATGCAGAGGATCCTTTACTCCTTTAAAAAAAAAAAAAAAAGAGAGAGACACAGAGAGAGAGAGAGGGTCTGCTCTGTCACCCAGGCTGGAGAGCAGTGGTGCAATCATAGCTCATTGTAACCTCAAACTCCTGGGCTTAAGAGATCCTCCACCTCAGTCTCCTGAGTAGCTGGGACTACAGGAGTGCACCACTATGCCCAACGAATTAAAAAAAATTTTTTTTGTAGCTACCGGGTCTCACTATGTTGCCCAGGCTGTTCTTAAACTTCTGGCCTCAAGTGATCCTCCCACCTCAGCCTCCAAAAGTGCTGGGATTGCAGGCATGAGTCACTGCACCCTGCCCCTTTTCTCCTTGAAACACTGTTCTTTCAGCTTCTGTGAAGTTCTAGTCTGGGTTTTTTCCCCCTACTTTATTGGCAGCCCTTGCTGCAGTAGGTGATCCTGTCAAAGATATCTGTCTTTGTTCATTTTGTGTTGCTATAAAGGAATACCTGAGGCTGGGTAATTTATAGAGAAAAGAGGTTTATTTTGCTCCTAGTTCTGCAGGCTGTACAAGAAGCAAGGCTCCAGCATGTGCTTCTGGTGAGGGCTTCAGGAAGCTTCCAATCACGGTGGAAGATGAAAGGGAGCAGGCATCACATGGTGACAGAGGAAGGAAGAGGGCGGAGGTACCAGGCTCTTTTTCACAATATGGTCTCGCAGTATGCACTAGAGCAAGAAGTCATTCATTACCAAGAGGAGGGCACCATGCAGTTCATGAGGGATCCACCCCCATGATTCAAACACCTCCTACCAGGCCCCACCTCCAACATTGGGGATCGAATTTCAACATGAGATTTAGAGAGGGCAAATACCTAAACTTTAGCAATGGCCATATATTAATCCCACGACCCTGTGAATATGTTACCTTATATGGCAAAAGAGACTTTGCAGATGTGATTAAGTTGAGGATCTTGGTAGGGGGGGAGACTATCCTGGTTTAAGTGGATGAGCCCTTAATGTACCCATGAGTCCTTATAAGAGGGAGGCTGAGGGGGATTTGACTTCCAAAGGAAAACGTGATGTTACAACTGAAGCAAGATGCTGTGCTGCTGGCTGTGGAGATGGAGAATAGGACCATGAGCCAGGGAAGGCAGCTCCAGAAGTGAGAAAAGCAAGGCAGCAGCTCTCTCCTGGAGCTCTGCCCACACCTAGGTTTCAACCAGTGAGGCTGATTTTGAACTGCTGACCTCCAGAACTGTAAGAGAATAACTGTGTGTTATTTTAAGCACCATGTTAGTGGTGATGTGTTATAGCGCAATAGGAAATTAATATACTTGCTTAATCACCCCTTGGGCTTCTCTTCCCCTGTAAGACCTGTATTTTTTTGTTGTTTTTATTTTGTTTGTTTGTTTTTGTTTTTGTTTTGAGACAGGATCTCACTCTGTCCCCCAGGCTGGAACGCGTGTCATCATCATGGCTTGACTCACTGCAGCCTCAAACACCTGGGCTGAAGCAATCCTCCTGCCTTCGCGTCTCGTAGCTAGGACAACAGGCACATGTCACTAAATATGGCTCTTTTTTTTTTTAAAGTAGAGATGTGGTCTCCCTTTGTTGCCCAGGCTGGTCTCAAACTCCTGAACTCAAACCATCCTCCCACCTCAGCCTCCCAAAGTGCTGGGATTATAAGCATGAGCCACTGTGCCCAGCCAAGACCTTTCGATTCTGAAATGCTGCAGGGCTCAGCCCTGAGCCAGCATCTCCTTTCTTGCCACAATTCTAGCTACACTCTCCTCCCTGGTGGTCTCGTTCACTCCTATTTCCTTAAATACCATTTACATTTTGATGGTTCCCAAATTCTTCTCCTCAGTCCAGATCATTCCTCTAAGGGCCAAATGGATATACCGAACAGCTTTCTTTACCTCTCCATTTAGGTAGAATACGCAAAAAAGAACTCTTTGCATTCCCAGCTTGCAAACCTGTTCCTCCCTTGTCTTCCCCCCTCAAAAAATGGTACCTCTCTCCATCCAGTGAGTTACTAAAGTCAAACTCTAGGTAATATCTTTGATTCCTCCCTCCCAGCATCCTGCCCACCCCAACACACACCATTTGTATGTCCTGCCAATTCCATGCCCAAAACGTATTCGGACCTCACCCACTCCTTCCACCCCATGGCCACCACCAGGCCCATGCCTCCATTATCCATTATCTCTCACTGATGCAATAAGTTCCTGTTGCTACCCTTTTTCTTGTTTTTGAGACAGGGTCTTGCTCTGTCTCCCAGACTGGTGTGCAGTGGCACTCTCATAGCTTCCTGCAGCCTCAAACTCCTGGGCTCAAGCAATCCCTCCACCTTAGGCCCTGAGTAGCTGGGACTATAGGCATGAGCCACCGTACTCAGCATCCTGTTGCTATTCTTGCCCTCAAACTCTCAGTTTGTCACACACTATCCAGAGTGATCTTTTAAAAGTACAAATCAAGGCTGGGCATGGTGGCTCACACCTGTAATCCCAGCACTTTGGGAGGTCAAGGAAGGCAGATCACTTGAGGCCAGGAGTTTGTGACCAGCCTGGGCAATGTGGTGAAATCCCATCTCTAAAAAAAATTAAAAATTAGCTGGATGCAGCCAGGTACAGTGGCTCATGCCTGTAATCCCAGCACTTTGGGAGGCCAAGGTGGGCAGAGGTGGGCCGAGGTCAGGAGTTCAAGACCAGCCTGGCCAACATGGTGAAACCCCATCTCTACTAAAAATACAAAAAATTAGCCGGGCGTGGTGGTGCACACCTGAAGTCCCAGCTACTCAGGAGGCTGAGGTAGAAGAATCGCTTGAACCCGGGAGATGGAGGTTGCAGTGAGCCGAGATCACACCACTGCACTCCAGCCTGGGCGACACAGCAAGACTCCGTCTCAAAAAAAAAAAGGAAAAAAAAATTAGCTGGATGCGATGGTGAACATCTGTAGTCCCAGCTACTCCAGAGGCTGAAGTGGGAGGAATACTTAAGCCCAGGAGGTGGAGGCTGCAGTGAGCTATGACTGTACCACTGCACTTAGAAACCCTGTCTCAAAAAATAAATAAATAAATAAATAAATAAATAAATAAATAAATAAATAATAAAAATTCAAATCAAATTATGGCCTCACTGCTTTAAAACCCTCCTTGGCTTCCCTTTGTGCTCAGAGTGAAATGAAATTTCCCACCCTGTTCTCCAGAGTCCTGTGCAGTCTGGCCTCTCCATCAGCTCTGGCTCATCTTTTGCTACCCCTGCCCTTGCTCCAGGTTCTCTGAGACTAGGATTGTTTCTAGAATGTTCCAGGCTCTTCCTCCACCTGTCGTTCCTGACGCTCTCTTGCCCAGACTGTGCATGGCTGGCTCCAGTGCTTTCTTCCCTCATGGCGTCCTGAATGTCCCCTCCTCAGAGACACCTCCCCAACCACTCTCAGGAACTCTGTTTCTCCACATCCTGTGCACCTCCTTCCTAGAATTGATCACAATCCTGATTTTTCCTTATTGTCTGATTCTTTATCTGCAATGAAAGTTCTATAAGAGCAGAGAGCAAATTCGCCTTCTCCACAGCTTATTCTCAGTCCCTGGTGCAGAAGATGCCCCTTTCTCCACATGAAAATGATTGAATGGATCAATACTTGGCCCCTCGGACCCCTCACTACCAGCTGACAGAGGGCTGCCAAATCTTGAGCTTGGGGAATATTAGGTCCTTTCAGAAAAACCTGGCATTGCGTTGTAAAGTGATCCTGCGTAAGTCACTTTACCTCTCTCGTTTTCTATTTTTTTCCCCACAGGATGCTCTTTACCTAACTCAAAGACCCAAAAATGGGTGTGTTGCCTACCTGTGAAGCAGGCCAAGATGTAAATAGAATCTCATGCTCTTGAACCCAAGATGTTTGTTTGCAGGCACTTCCTGTGCAATGACTATATTCTTTCTAGAATCCGATTTAAGAAAGCTCCCAGAAGGGTCCCGTTCTCCTGCCATCTGTGATCCTAACTGCCCAAGCTGGAGCTATGGAGAAGGAAACCAGCGCTATTACCGGAGCCCAGAGCTGTTTGTTCTCCAATATTTCCACCCCTGAATTCCCTTGTCAAAGAGCTCAGTGTTGAGATCCTTCCTGGTTCATTTGGAATGAAATGGTCTGATGCTGTTGACTTCTTACACATGTCACAGGAAATGACCAAACAAGTTGATGCATCTTCTGCCAAGAGCTCTTGGGTGAAAATCGTACGTACTTAGAGAAAGGACCGTGGGTTGCATACAAGGCCATATGAGTGGCTCGTCACTGAGCACAGAGGAAAGGCAAGAAACCCACATCTGAGTGTGACAAAGCACATCGTACCCCCCTTTAAATGGAATGGATTGCCTTATTTTTTTTTATTTTTTATTTTTTTTGAGAAGTAGTCTTGCTCTGTTGCGAGGCTGAAGTGCAGTGGCGTGATCTCACTGCAACCTCCATCTCCCAGGTTCAAGCGATTCTCCTGCTTCAGCCTCCCGAGTAGCTGGGACTACAGGTGCGCACCAACATGCCCAGCTAATTTTTGTATTGTTAGTAGAGACGAGGTTTCATCATGTTGGCCACGATGGTCTTGATCTCTTGACCTCGTGATCTGTCCGCCTCGGCCTCCCAAAGTGATAGGATTACAGGCGTGAGCCACTGCACCCAGCCGGATTGCCTTTTCTACAGAAAATGCATTTACAAGCCCAGGAGATCTTCACCATGGGTGAGATATGCTTGAAGGACACAGTATTAGAAAATGCCATTTGACAAAATTTTAATACAAAGAAAGGTATTTTTCTTTTCTCTTTTGTTCCCTCTTTCTTTCAGCAATGCCTATTAGTGGCATAATCCTGCAGGTATTTATGCCTGGGTTCAGAACAATCACCAGAGTTGAGATCTGTATGGAACAAAGACCTTCAAGCATGTGGAAGAGGATCAGCCCAGCTGAGGGCCAGCAGCAGGACCGCAGGCCAGGACGCAGGTTCTGCTCTGACGTTTGGCCTGCCAGTGTGCCCTCTGCTGTTTTGAATATCAATTGGTTCTTATGTAGGTTTCACTGCCTGGTTTATGGATAAACTAGGAATTCTTACAACCCAGGATAGATGAGCTCTTCAATCTAAAAAGTAGGGCTCTTGGATCGTGGATTTCAAGTTTCTATGAACTGAACCCGATGCATGAGCTCCCTGCACTCATGGAGACATGATTTCCAGTTTTGGACATTTTCCTACCCATCTTCCCATACCAAAGCCTCTGTCTCGAAGCAGTAACCTGTTTCCTGAGACTTGCGAATTGGTGAGCCACTTCCAAATGGTGGGGGAGAGATGGAGCTAACATGTGAGATTTGGATGCTGAGAACAGGGACTCTCTTCCCTGGAAGATTTCTTGAGAAAATAAACATAATTTGAAATCCTGCTCAAAATTAGCTCCGCTATGTTATCTTGGGATTATCAATTCATTTAGTTAAGCAAACTCTCTCCAGGGACAGTGAGTTACGTCTTTGTGTGAGTTACGCTGCTCACTCAGCCATGCCTTCATTCAATACGTATTTACTACTCTATCGGGTAGAGATCCATAAGTAGATCGTGCCACGTCCTCAGGGAATGGGGAGGCTTGGTTTGGGCTTCCCAAAAGGCCTGGACACAGTGGGGATTTTGGACCAAACACTAGATGGCATGAAAGCAACAGGCAATGGAAAGGCTGGGCGCCGCGGCTCACGCCTGTAATCCCAACACTTTGGGAGGCTGAGGCGAGTGGATCACCTGAGGTCAGGAGTTCAAGACCAGCCTGACCAACATGGTGAAACCCTGTCTCTACTAAAAATACAAAAATTAGCCAAGCGTTGTGTTGCATGCCTGTAATCCCAGCTCCTCAGGAGGCTGAGGCATGAGAATTGCTTGAACCTGGGAGGCAGAGGTTGCAGTGAGCTGAGAGCGTGCCACCACACTCCAGCCTGGGCGACAGAGCGAGACTCCGTCTCAAAAACAGGCAATGGAGAGAAAGGAAGAAACAGGAGAAGAGGTAAAAAGAAGAGGTAATTGGCCCTTCTCCGAAAGTCCCGGCAGCTACTCTGCCAGTGAATGGCATTTCTGAGTTTATTCCGATTTGCTGAAGCTACTTTGATGTAGGTAAGCTGCCTGGTTTATAGATAAATCAAAAACTTAGGAATCTTGGATGAGGTTTTCAGGTCTACAAGTAGAGTCTTTGGATCATTTATGTATTTCAAGTTCCTAGGAACTGAACACAAGACATGAACCACCCTTCTATGAAAGTTCCCTGAAGGCAGAGACCAATTCAACAACACATATTGAGAACTGGGTCCATTTCTCTTCAAATATTCTTTTTTTGAACTTTTAAGTTCAGGGATACATGCACATGTTTGTTACATAGCTAAACTTGTGTCATGGGGGTTTGTTGTACAGAGTATTTCATCACCCAGGTATTAAGCCTAGTACTCATTAGTTGTTTTTCCTGATCCTCTACTGCCTCCCACTCTCCACCCTCCGATAGGCCCCAGTGTGTGTTGTTCCCCTGTATGTGTCCATGTGTTCTCATCATTTAGCTCCCACTTACAAGTGAGAACATGCAGTATTTGGTTTACTATTCCTGTGTTAGTTCGCTAAGGATAATGGCCTCCAGCTCCTTCTGTATTCCCGCAAAAGACACGATCTCATTTTTTGTTATGGCTGCATAGTATTTCATGGTGTATATGTACCACATTTTCTTTATCCAGCCTGCCATGGATGGACATTTAGGTTGATTCCATGTTTTTGCTCTTGTGAATAGAAAATATTCTTTAAAAAATACCCTCAGCCCTTCTCATGGCCTCCAGTGCCCATGTGATCTGGCCCCTGCTCCCTTGCTGACCGCATGTCAATCATTCGCCTTGCTCCCTAATTTCCACACACCATGGTTTTTCTATTCCTTGAACAAAACCAAATTTTCACTCACTCCAAAACATTTTTCTTGTCATTTTCCCCTGCCTTGAACCTTCTTCCCCAGATTTTGATAATTCTATTTCTTCCTCATTCAGATCTCATCCAAATGTCACTTCTTAGAGTTTTGCTTCTGGAAATGGTTCTCACACTCAGAACAACTAGAAAGCCTAGTGAAATATAACTATATCCATTTAGAGGCATCAGAGAGATACCCAATCAGTGAGGAAAACAGGTGTGAGAGAGAACGGAGGCCCAGAGATGATCCTGGAGTTAGGGACCACTTTTCCCCACAGGCAGATGCAAATTCTGAAAGTGGAAGCTGAGAGACTGAAAAGCTGAATAGAGTTCTCCACAAATCAAGGAACTGCGGGTTTCAGAGACTGCTGAGTAGGAGGGATCCTAGTAAATACCCTAACCTATCAAGTACCTGGAAGTAAGTGTGAACCAATAGATTAGCCCTCACAGGGCCTGAAGCCCAGCTTCAAATAATCTATCTATCCTTGGCTGAATTAATGTGACCTGAAATTGCTAGTGTTTCTAGCCTAGATGCTGGCCAGATGCAAAAGTGCACCCTCTCTAGAAGAATATAACAGCATTCGGAGCCTCAAATTATCTATTTTAATATATATTATCTGATACCTATCAAGACATAATCAGTCATAAAGGAAGATAAGATATGACCAAACAAAGAGACAATAGGAAAAGCAGACCCATAAGGATTTCAGATAATAAACAGACACAAACTTTAAAACAACCATGATTAATATGTTTAAGAATATAAAATTTTTGATGAATAACTGGAAATTATGCTTATAAAGTATAAAAAGTAAACCAAATGGAAATTCTAATATGGATAAATATTATGAATGAAATTAACATATTGGATAGGTTTAACATCAGATTAGACACAGCTGAAAAGAGAATTAGTAAACTTAGAAGCTAGGTCAGAAAAAATATATCTAAGATGAAACAAACAAGCAAAAAGATGATAAATATCAAAAACCAAGAGATAAATAGGACATTGTGAAATGTTCTAACATAGTTGTAACTGGTGTCCCAAATGACAGGAGAAAGAGAACGGGGCAAAAGTAATACTTAAAGATATATTACTTACCTGATGAGAATCAATGGCTTGCCTGTGTATGTGCATGAATGCAACAGCTGAAGACTTTAGAAATAGGAGCTTGATGACATAATTTCCCTACCAGATTTATATTCCTATTCGAAGCCTGCCCCAGCTCCTTCAATGTGTGTGACCATGGTTACCACACCCACCCAGGGCCTCGCCCACCCAGGGCCTCCCTCCCATCCTTTTCTTGGTCTGTGATGTTTGCTGTAGCACCAATGACTACTAGTGCTATTCACCAAAAATTTTGGTCCTCTTTCCAAGTACGGTGGGGATTTCACTTCCTTATCCCCTGGAAGTCAGGATGGTCAAGTGCCTTGCTTTGGCAATAAAATGCAACAGCTATATGTGCCCATTTTGGGTGGAAGCTTTAACACTCAGTGTTCAATATAAATTAAGGTATGTTCTTGTCCTTCTGCCTCAGTGTCACAACAGAGCCTCCATCAGCCTAGTTACTGGATGATCATAAGACGCCAAGAGATGGAGCTTCCAGCTAATCTGTGAGGCCTGTTAACATGCATAAGAAATGAACTTGGGTTGTTTTAACTTGTGTCATACTTGTTGTCACACTATGACACAACCTATCCAGACACATGTCCCTTTGACTTGCTTTTTCAGTCTCCTTGTCACCATTCACCTCCTATTTCAATCCAAACTCCAGGAGACCTTTGCTATCTTGCTTTCTTTTGGGCAGCAGAATCTTCCTTTCCCTTTAGAATCTTTTCTATATCTGTTCTTGTGTCCTATTCCTCTTTGCTGAAGGTGGTGATGCCCTTTATTCCCAAGAATGTCCCTTTTATCTGTTTCCTTTGTTCCAGACAGCTGGCAGCTTTACACAGCCATGAAAGTCTTTTCAGCAAATGACTAAAAAGCATGTCCTAGGGAAACATCTACCTCCCTCATCTCTCTGACTATGTGAATCCCAGCCTTCCCTGATTTCATCAGTACAGGTCTGATTGCCACTGCAGGCAGATGGAGAAGCTTCCCCAGGTCTTGTCTGGCAAGACTGCAGCTAGTTATGGATTCTGGGCCATCACCTAGCAGGCTGCTGGCAAGCTGTAAATGGAAACAAACAAACAACAGTCTTTGGCTTATAGCTTGAGATCTTTATGAAGACTAAGAAAGCAATCCTTATTACGATGGCCTGGATGTGTGGTGAGCCTCGTTTTCTGTGAACAAGGACAGAGGATGGAGCAAAACATTTCACCTATTTTATAATGCACAAAATCAACTGCATGTATGTGTATATCGATATGAAAGGGCATTCCTCACGAATTAGCAAGATAAGATTATTGCGTATTTGTAACTTTTTTAGTTCTAAAAGCTCCAGCAGTCTCTGAATGCAAATGTCTATGTTGTCAAAATATCTGCACACACACACACACACACACACAAACCTATTTTCTACAAGTAAGGGGGTAATGAAAGGTTTCTGTCTTTTCCAGGCAAAGAATGAGTCATGGATATCATTTGAAGAAGTCCAGTCTCTACAGGGAACAGGTGGAGTTCCTGACACCCTCCCTTGCAAGCAGCTCATACCTGCTGGGCTCACCTGTCTGTTTTCTGCCAACAACATATTCCATATTCTAGCAACGAGTCTGAATTACCCAAGGCAGGAGGCCTGTTCTTTTTGCAGAAAGCTAAAAAGCTCATTTCTCTTTTTCTTCCCCACAAAAACACAGCCGGTCGTTTATCTCTCTACAACTCGCCACAGCTGGAGCAGAGACTGACTTCATGGCTCGGAGAAGTGGCAGCCGTTTCAGGGCTATGCCCTGCTATGGTAGGTATTTTGGAGTTCTTATTTCCTGGGAGCCAAATAATGCCTCTCCCTGTAGTATTCAACAGTTGGCCAGGCTGACGGCTTGAATTCTCCAGGCAGAGCTGAAACAGCTGCCATATAAGGAACTAGTTAAAAAACCCTGGTGTTCCTTAGAGGCAGGAAGGTGAGACTGGCTTATTTCTTTGGAATCCAGAAAGAAGATGAAAATGTGGTCTGTCTACCCAGTGCCAGCCGTGTTCGTGGGCAGAGCAGGTGGCTGTCTGTATGTTGGTATGTGAGGGGTGCCAAGAGGGTCCCCAGCCAAAAATACCCCCCACATCCAACTGGTCTTGAAATGCTAAATCCTTCTTCAGACATCCTTTGCTTTACAGTTTTCTTTCTTTCAGCATCCTCTTTGCAAATGCAAAGAATTTTAGAAGAGGGGAATTATTTATCATTATCTCATTGTTATGGCCTGAATTATGTGCCCCCAAATTCATATGTTGGAATCCTAATCCCCAGGACCTCCAAATGCAACTGTATTTGCAGATAGGGTCTTTGAAGAGGTAATTAAGTTAAAACAAGGCTCTAGGGCAGGTTGCAATTCGATCTGACTGGCGCTTTTATGAGAAGGGGAGATTAGGACACTGCCTCACACAGAGGGAAGACCACGTGAGGACACGGGGAGGAGAGGGCCTCTGCAAGCCCAGGAGAGGGGCCGCAGGAAGACCAACCCTGCCGACAACTTGATCTTGGACTTCAAGCCTCCAGATCTGTCAGAACATACATTTCTGTTGTTAAGTCCCCAACTCTGCTATGTTCTTACAGTGGCCAGCGCAAATGGATACACTTCTTTTTTTTTTTTTGAGATGGAGTTTCACTCTTATCACCCAGGCTGGAGTGCAATGGTGTGATCTCGGCTCACTGCAACCTCCGCCTCCCAGGTTCAAGCGATTCTCCTGCCTCAGCCTCCCCACTAGCTGGCATTACAGGCACCTGCTACCATGCCCAGCTAATTTTCATATTTTCAGTAGAGATGGGTTTTCACCATGTTGGTCAGGCTGGTATCAAACTCCTGACCTCAAGTGATCCACATGCCTCAGCCTCCCAAAGTGCTGGGATTACAGGTGTGAGCCACCTTACCCAGCCTGGATACACTTCTAAATGTAAATTATGTAAATTAGTTTACACATCCTCTGTTCTTTGCCAGCTAATTGAGGTTTGGAGTAGAAATGGGAAATAGGTGAGTCCCAAACAGGAAAAGGTCAGGAGAAGTTTCCCAAAGAATTATAAGGGAGTCTGAGACATGGAAAGGGTGATGGATTGGATTGGAAGAAAGATACAGAGAAAGGGAAGGAGGAAGGTGCTTACATCACTGTGATCTGATGGAAGGGCGATGAATTGGGTTGGATGGAAGACACAGAGAAAGCAAAGGAAGAAGGTCCTTATTATCACTGTGATCTGATGGAAGGGTGATGGATTGGGTTGGAAGGAAGACACAGAGAAAGGGAAGGAGGAAGGTCCTTATTATCACTGTGATCTGATACGGTATAGTCTTACATGCATTCCAATGTGCCGTCAGATTCAGCATAACATTTTATCCTGACAAAAGTGTTTGAAGGAGCTACCCACTCCATTTATAGATGAGGAACCAGAGTCTCAGAAAAGGTGTAAATTGCTCAGGGTTCCCCCAGAACCTAGCCACAAACCCAATGTAGCCCTCCCTAGCCTGTGGGACCTGGACATTGTTAGGAACAAAAGGCCAAACCAACCCCTAATCCACTGGTTTTACACCACAACCTACTGCCTCAATGAGGACGCGCTTTGGGGCCAGGACTGTGTCTTAGTCTCTTTCAGGGCGCTTGCAACAGCTGCTATAGAGCCTTGCCCAGATGAGTAGAATATTTGTTGATTGAACCAATACAACCCCCTCTTTTCTTTCCTGCAAAAGCAAGTTGGATTGATGCAAAGCACACACTAGGATTTATTCCAAATACCCTTCCAACTGCGGCCTGAAGATTACCGGTGACCTGGCCGAATTCCCGAGGTGTTCACTGCTGCCTACCTGGCTAAAATCCTCTTCTGTTATTCAAGAATGAAGGTGGCCAGCCTGGGCAACATGGCAAGACCTTGTCTCAAAAAAACCAAAAACCAAAAAACAAACAAAAAAACCACACAAAAATAAAACAAAACAAAACAAAATATATATATAAACAAAAATAAACAATAAAACAAAAACCAATATAAAACAATAAAACAATAAAACAAAAAAAGTGGCTGCCACCCAAGCTCGTCTGTAACAGAAACTTCTCTTCTCTCTCTCTCTCTCTTTTTTTTTTTTTTTTTTTTTCCATTTCATAAGTTACCACTAAACACGCAGGCTTTTTTGTTTAGTTGGTTTGATATTTTTTTTCTTTTTTTTTTTGAGACAGAGTCTCACTCTGTCACCCAGGCTGGAGTGCAGTGGCACAATCTCGGCTCACTGCAACCTCTGCCTCTCGGGTCCCAGTGATTCTTCTGCCTCAGCCTCCCGAGTAGCTGGAATTAAAGGCATGCACCACCACATCTGGCTAATTTTTTTTTTTTTTTTTTTTGAGATGTGGTTTCGCCATGTTGGCCAAGCTGGTCTCAAACTCCTGGCCTCAAGTGATATGCTCACCTTGGTCTCCCAAAGTACTGGGATTACAGGCATGAGCCACCATGCCCAGCCCTGGTTTTTTGTTTGTTTGTTTGTTTTGTTTTTGAGACAGGTTCTTGCTCTGTCACCCAGCCTGGAGTACAGTGGTGCAAACACAGCTCCCAGCAGCCTCAAGTTCCTGGACTCAAGCAGTCCTCCCAACTCAGCCTCCCAAGTAGCTGGGACTACAGGCATGTGCCACCACCCCAGCTAATTTTTGTATATTTTTGTAGAGATGGGTTTTTACTATATTGCCCAGGCTTGTCTCAAACTTCTGGCCTCAAGTGATCTGCCTGCCTCAGCCTCTCAAAGTGCCGGGATTACAGGCGTGCACCATCGCACCCAGCTTGCAGCAGAAACTTGACGGTGATGCCATGTAAGCTCTTCACACTGTGACAATACCTAAGAGACTTCTTCAATATGGAGCCTGACAGTGACAACCACAGAAGCTATTTACTAAGGACAGGTACCATTCTACAAAAAGAGCAGTATTCAGGTTACCAAAATTATTGAGTTTATTCAAATATACAACATACAAGTATAAATGACAGATGACCACAACATGGTTTTGGAATAAACGCAATCTCTTCTCACTGTCCAGGACTGGCCCAGGTCCTCATTTAGGTACACACACCCAGTTCTGAATTGCTTTCTGGGCTATGCTGTGTCCTCTCTTGTTCCACGAAGCCAGGGCTGGCTTTGTGGGTATGCAGCCTTAAATAGGCCCCATGCTGGGCTTAATGCTCTGCTCCGTCTGTCTTGAAATTCTCAGTACTTTTGGAACCAGGGGCCCCACGTTTACATTTTGCACTGGACTCCACAAATTAGGTCATTGGTTCTGAGAGTGGCCTCGTTCCTTTTCTGCATCAGGGCTACTGTATACATTGCAGGGAATCCTCGGGCTCCCATTGTATGATTAGAAGAGATTTCTCGGTGTGAATAAAAGATGGAGTGGACACAGTTGGATGGAGGATGCCAACCTGAGAGGGGCCTCGTCGTCAAGCAGTGCTGGCAGTTGCTGAATCCCAGGGCTGTAGATAATCTAAAGTCATGCTTGGAGTCACATGGACACCAAGATCTGACCAGAGGCGTGGCAACAGCAACAAGGGGTCCTCAGAAGGCTAAGGCCAGAAGCCAAAAAGTTCTGTCCAAAACTGCTACAAGGACAACAGGCAGCAGGGCTCAGTCCCTGTGGAGCAGGTGCTGGCAGAAATTGGCCAAGGATTTCA
Source organism: Homo sapiens (assembly GCF_000001405.40). NCBI lineage: Eukaryota > Metazoa > Chordata > Mammalia > Primates > Hominidae > Homo > Homo sapiens. The sequence continues at coordinate 236,948,681 of NC_000001.11, read as the reverse complement.
GGGACCCAGCAAGCGAGGCTGGGGTTAGGGGCTGGAACTCCATCCCAACTGGGAAATGGAAAGGAAACTGATTGCAGCCAAGAAGTCAGGCCCCTGGCCAATTCTAGCAGATGGAGAAGAGAGGGAAGCTGTTGCTCTGAGCTCCTCCAGGCTCCTGGGGATCTGCTGAGTGAAGGTCTAACATCTCCAGGTTGAACTCACTCTAACGACACGCAGGGAAGACCTGAATTTTTAACAACCGATGCTATGTAACAAGCTGGGAGCAGGGGAAGCCCAGCAAATAGAGCCTAATAGAAGAGGCGAAAGGCTTTATGCTAAATCTGGAATTGTCATCCACAGCATCTCTGTAGCTCTGGCTATATCTGTTCTTACTTGCCGCTGTGTAGTTTAGTCACAATTCTAGAATTTCAGAAGGTATGGCTCATCTTCAATGCTTGTACTGCAATTTCTTCCTCTACTGGAGAAGTGAAAAGTCTCTCTCTCTGCACGCTGTCTCCTCTCTCCTCCCCTTTCTTCCTTTCTCCTCTCTTCCCTTCTTTCTTTCTCTTTCTCTTCCCTGCATTCTCCCTGTCTCCCTCTGAGCCTCCCCCTCTCTGGCTCCCCCGCTTCCTCTTGTTCTTCCTCTCCCTCCCCTCCCCTAGCTCTTGTTGGTGATGAGACCTCTCAGCCTGAGTGCTACTGGAAAGTCTCCCCGTGATTCAGAGGCCTGCGCCCCACAGGGCCTCCTGTGCTTACCACAGCCACCCACCTTGCCAAGAGCAGCTGATTTGAAAACTGCCTGCCTGCCGCCTCACGGGGAATTGCTCTTAATTGTTTGGTTTCCATGCGTGTCGTATATCCACTCCCAACGTAGAGGCTTTGCTTTGGGTAAGAAGAAATGCAAATGGAAGTAGGGGCATTACATCCAGGATTCTTTCTGGAGGTTAGACTAAATGACCTCTTAAGATTCCTGCTAGAATCTGTTATAAATAACTCAAAACCTGATTAAAAATTCTACCTGAAAACTGTCTGAGATCGACAGCACGTAATCCATATAGACACGTGCAAATTGTGAATGAGTCTAGTAAGAGGACCACAGCTAACGTTTATTGAGCACTAACTATGTGCCGGGCACTGCGCTAATTGCACAATCTCATTGAATCCTCATGACAGCCCAGGAGGAATGTTTCTAAATATTTCTGTGTTACAGGTGAGGAAATCTGTAGAGTTTCAGTCAGCGACTTGCCAAGTGACACAGCCAGTAAACAAAAGAGCGGGACTGGATCCCCACTCCATACCCATCTGACAGTCTCAACAGGATGTATTTCAGAAGGAAGTCAGACCCAGGAAAGACCTCATTCCCAGGTGGCTTTGCATGGTGACAAGCTCTTAGACTCAGTTGCGGTACTGGGCCTGAACTAGCTGAGCTAACAGGTTTTTCTCTGCCCCTGACGTTGACAGTTCTGACAGTTCATCCCATTATTTTTATGTCTGCATAGAGTAGTTGCTTCCTGGCCTTCACTGTGTGCTCAGATAGAATATTTCCCTGGATCCTTTGGAAGCGTGCTGCTTAAGATCAACACCTCTGAAGTCAGAGGCAATGGCCCTCACTCTAGAAAGAAGCACCTGGTTCAGGTTGGCCCTCACTCTAGAAAGAACCACCTGGTTCAGGTTAACCCCCACTTTTGCTTCTGTGTGTATCAACCTGGCCTTGCATGGCATCTGCTGCAATGACTCAAACTCTGGAGTATTCTCTTTGGCCAGCTCCGCTTTCTATTTTGTAAATCTGATGAGCCACTAGATTGTGGAATCGGATCTCATTGCCTTTAAGCATACTGCACTTGGTCACTAAATGAGCTTCAGAATAGTGTCAGACCAGGACACAGAAGCATGCACGTGGTGTGCGTGTGTGATCATGAATTCATCATTGCATGTGTGTGCATGTCACATCTTCCCTGTCACCCAGACTACAAACCGTGGCATCATCTTGAGCCTGCTCACCCACACTCACTCACTCACCTGCCCGCATTTCTCCCTCAGTTTCACAGACACTGTCCTTGTTCAGGGTCTCTTGGTCTCCTCTGCCCCAGACAACTCTGCCAGCCTCCTGCCCCATCTGCCCTCATCCAGGCTGTCGCCTCTCTGATCCATCAATCACATTAATGCCAGAATCATCATCCTTGCATAAGACCACTTGCATCACAGGTCCTCTCAGAATTCCACAAGAATGGGACTCCCAAGTTGCTGCTCATGACCATCGCATTCCAAGTCCTGCAAAATCTTTCTCCAAATTTACTCGCCAACCTTATCACCCATTACATGCACCTTAGAGTTCATCCAAACACCGTGTATAGAATCCACATTGATTGAGCCTCTGCTACAGCCGGGGACGCTGCTACCTGCTAGGGAATATTTATAAACAAGGCCCGCAGCACACCAGACCCTCTCAGGACTCCTTGGCCTGGAAGGTCCTGCTCCTTTTCTTCCCTATTAAAATCATTCTCATTTTCCAAGTCAGATGTTTACCTACTGTGACATTGACCTTAATCCCCTTAGAATCCTTTCTTGGAGCCTAAGTCCTTGAGTTTTTGTCCTGATTTTGCTATTAAACTAGTTGTGTGAGTTTGGGGAAATTTTTTAACCTCATGGGGTCTCAGTTTGCTCAGCCTGAAAAATGGCGATAATACAAATACCTCCTCATGTAGTTGTTGAGAGGACAAAATTATTATTATTATTTTATATAAAGCATTTAGGACAGGGTAAAAAATTGTTTCTTTTTTTTTTATTTAGATGGAGTTTTGCTCTTGTTGCCCAGGCTGGAGTGCAATGGCGCGATCTCGGCTCACTGTAACCTCCGCCTCCCGGGTTCAAGCGATTCTCCTGACTCAGCCTCAAGTAGGTGGGATTACAGGTTCCTGCCACCATGCCTGGCTCATTTTTTGTATTTTTAGTAGAGACAGGGTTTCACCGTATTGGTCAGGCTGGTCTTGAACTCCTGACCTCAGGTGATCCGCCCGCCTCGGCCTCCCAAAGTGCTGGGATTATAGGCATGAGCCACCGCACCCAGCCAAAAATTATTTCTAGCACCTTGGCTCCCATGTGTTGCTTATGTATTGCTATTTACATGTAGGCCATTCTGCCTGCTTCCTCTATGCAATTTTTAGTTATTTGAGATAAAGGGTGGTCATTATCTTTGCATCCCAGCATCACTAGCAGAGAGCTTTGATCATAGAAGATGTTTAATAAATGTTGGCTTAGTTGAGTTCAGTTGCTAAATGATCATAGAAATTTTAAGTTCATTTTGCCGATTGCTCTGCCTTCGAATAGGACTTTCCTAATTCTAGGTAGAGGAGATTCTGGTCCCTGGCAACCTATTCCACTTTCTGATATTTCAATCTGAAGGAGACTTTAGAGGTCATTTCATGCAGATATGTCAGTTACCATTTTGTGTGTTGACCTCAATCGATTAATAATGGCTTTCTCAAGTGCTGGGAGTGCTACAATTGATTAGTGATGTCTGGCCCTTGCATGGGCAGGGCAGCTGATAATGTGCAAGTCTTGTATTTGCCATTCCCAATTTAGTCCATTGCTCTCTTTTGAGTATGAGGAAACTAAGTATACAGAAGTTGAGTGACATACTGAAGGCCACACAGTTAGTGGTAGCAGGGTCCAAATGGGAAGTTAGGTGTTCTGAATACAAGTTCAGTATTTTTTAGAGAGATTGGAATTTGGGAGAGAAAAAAGGGGATCCAACTGTGAGTCTATGCCTCATTTGCCTGTAGATGTAACTGCCCATTCTCATCCTTCTGTAGGCTGGGGATTGTGTCTTTGAAGCACAGCACATGAGTGGCAGAAGCCTAGTGGAGGAGTTGCCCCTGCAAACTCAGTGGACCCTCATACCTTCTCCTTCTCTTAGACAGCCTGGCCCAACCTGGACTTGACAGATGGTGCTTGCCCAAGTCACAGGGGTGGCAGGACTGAGTCCTGGGCTGCTTCAGAAGAGGGGATGTCACAAACAAGTTCTGATGAATGTTAAGCTTTTACAAAATAGGATTAGATCCAGGGTGGACTCCACGGGGAAAAACATCCTCTTCTTTATAACGTTGAATTTATTATTTTAATTCAAAACAAAAGCACTGAAAGTGTTTCTCTGGGGGAGTGGAAAAGATTATTCTGCAAGATCCAAAAAAAAAATTATAGAATTCAGAGTTTCCAAAATAAGCTGAAATTTCTGAAGAATCCAGACTACATAACTTGTGTCAACAGAATTTAGACTCTGATTATGTAAGTAGGTAGGGGGAGAAGGGAGGCACCAATTCACACACACACACACAAAAAGAGTAGTAAGAGGCAAAATTCATTAAACACCAGGCATCTGCTCTCGGGAATGATTACTGTTCTAGCTGTAAACTATACAGGCCTGTTGCTGAGTAACATCATGTTACAGCACTTAATACCACTGGATGTCAATTATAAAATAGCACGCTTAGTACACAAACACTGGTATCTAGAATCATAAACTATTACACCTAGGAGGAAATTAAAGATAGCAGCCCAATCCCCTTAATAGGTGTCCACAAATGGTAAAATGACTTACCCAAGGCCACACTGCAAGTTACAGGCAGAGCTCATCCATAATCCCCGGAGTCTTCCTTCAGCAGCTTTCTACTGTCTGATGTAGACATCCTAGCATTACATGTTTTCTCTGAAATTTAGGATAGCCCATCAGAATTAAGGTATCCAAAGCAATTTTACTCATTCCAAAATATCAGTATTTACATCACCCAAGTTAATAGTCCAATCTGTTTTTATCCTTTCCTTTGATACAGCCAGGTAATTTTTATGTACCCATTATTGGGCCCTGGAAACCCTCCTAGCTGCCTTACAGACAAGTGGAGGAAACCAATGCTTGTGAGTTGCATTTTATGTGCCAGGGACTGCCCACACTGTCTCCTAGAAGCTCACAAATTATTTTCAAGAACTCTTTCTTCAAGAAATTCAAGGTCAAGTGGTTAACAAATGGTAGGGCTGGCATGCAAAGCCAGGTCCACCCATCTCCAAATTTCTTGGACAGCTCAAGTGGCCGTAACAAAAACACCATGGACTGAGGTTTTTTTTTTTTTTTTTTTTTTTTTTTTTTGAGACAGTGTCTCAGTCTGTTGCCAGGGTGGAGTGCAGTGGCACAATCTCGGCTCACTGCAACCTCGGCCTCCCAGGTTCAAGCGATTCTCCCGCCTCAGCCTTCCGAGTAGCTGGGACTGCAGGTGGGTGCCACCACACCCAGCTAATTTTTGTATTGTTAGTAGAGACGGGGTTTCACCATGTTGGCCAGGATAGTCTCGATCTCTTGACCTTGTGATCCACCCGCCTCAGCCTCCCAAAGTGCTGGGATTATAGGCATGAGCCACCGTGCCTGGCTGGTTTTTTTGTTTTGTTTTGTTTTGTTTTGTTTTTTGAGACAGGGTCTTGCTCTGTCACCCAGGCAGGAGTGCAGTGGTGCAATCATAGCTCATTGCATCCTCAGACTCCAGGGCTTAAGAGATCCTCCCACCTCAGCTTCTCCAGTAGCTGGGACTACAGATGTGCACCACCGTGCCTGGCTAATTTTTGTATTTTTTGTAGAGGCAGGATCTCACTTTGTTGCCCAGGCTGGTCTTGAACTCCTGGAGTTGAAGAACATTTACTATATTATTTCGGACAAGGAGGGAAGGGTGGGTGGGAGACAAAGCCATGCACAGTTGGTATTCTCATAAGAGACGGATAGCAAGACTCAGAACCCTTGACTCTCATACTCCTGTTTGCTGCAACTCTGCAGTCAAGAGGCATGTGGAAAGTCCATGGCTGCCCTCTCCCCTGAAAAACTGAAAAAAAATCCCCTGAAAAGAATCATGGAGTGGTGGTGAATTTTATGTGTCAACTTGGCTAGGCCACAGTACCCAGGTATTTGGTCAAACACCAGTCTAGATGTTGTTGTGAAGGTATTTTTTATAGGAGATTGATATTCAAATCAGTAGACTTTGAGTAAATCAGATTATTCTCCATAATGTGTGTGGGCCTCATCCAATCAGTTGAAGATCTTAAGAAAAAAAGACTAAGGTTCCCTGAGGAAGAAGGAATTCTGCCTCCAGGTGGCCTTCAGATTTGAGCCACAACATCAACTCCCCTGGGTCTGTAGCCTGCCAGCCTGTCCTGCAAATTTCAGACTTTCAGGCCTCCACAATTCTTGAACTGATTCCCCAACTTATGAAAATACACACACATACACACACACACACACACACACACACACACTATTGATTCTGTTGAACCCCAACTAACTCACATGGGGTAAGCTCCATGAGCAGCTTTAGGTAGAAGCCCCCTCAGTGGTATCCACAGACCCCATGCTGACCTCCTTTTGGCCTCCTTGGTTGGGGTGGGGTATGGAGGCTCAAGGGCCTCTTCCCCACAAGCCAGAGCCTGTCCATACCTGTTTAGAGCACTGGCTGTAATATGGAGCCATCCAAAAGTACAAGGACTGAGGGTTGACAGCCCCTTGACTCTCCCCACCAGAAGTTCTCCCCTTTTGATTGGGGGGTGGGGATCTTACCCAAAGATTCCACTTTATCCCTAACACAAAGAGGTGGGACCTTTGGAAGGTAACTTTGTCACAAGGGTGGAGCTCATGTGAATGGAACTAGTTGCCCTTATAAAAAAGGCTGGAGGGAGCTCCCTGGCCCTGCCCACCACGTGAGGAACAAGTCACCACCTATGAAGCAGAGAATCTGTTGGCACTCTGATCTTGGACTTCCCAGACTCCAGAACCGTGAGCAACAAATTTCTCTTGTTTATAATTTACCCAGCCTAAGGTATTTTTGTTTTAGCAGCCCAAATGGAGTAGTGTGTGCCCACTGGAGAGCAGAGGGGAGAGAATGCAGAGGTCCCTAGAGGTTAGAGTGAATGATCAGCTCACCCCAGGGGATATAACTTAACGCAATCTGCGCTCTTCATACATTTCTGTTTGCC